>NW_025791817.1:0-140567 GCF_000001405.40 Homo sapiens
TCACTTGTTTGTGGAATCCAAAATAGTCAAACTCATAGAAGCAGAGAGTAGAATGGTGATTGCCAGGGGCTGAAGGTGGAGGAAATGGGAGGTTGTTGTCCAATGGATATAAAGTTTCTGTTGCGCAAGATGAGTAAGTTTTGGAGATCTAATGTACAGCATCATAACTATAGTTAACAATACTGTATTGTACATTCTAAATTTGTTAAGTATCCTCACTACCTACACACACAAAGAAAATGGTAACTGTGAGGTGATAGATACATTAATGAGCTTAATTGTGGTGATCATTTCACAGTGTATATGTATATCAAAATATCAAGCTGTATCCCTTAAACATATACAATTTTTGTCAATTATACCTCAATAAAGCTAAAAAAATTAACACATCATATTGATAGAAGGAAAGAGAAAAACATAATCATTTCAATAGACACATAGAAAAAGCACTTGACAAAAGTCAAAACCCCTTCAATATACTAAGAATAGAAGGGAACTTCCTCTACCTAATAAAGGGCATCTCTGAAAAACCCCCATCTGTTTACCCACGTCTTAGTGCATTTTCTGTTACTGTAACATAATACCACAGACTGGATAATTTATAAATAAAAGAGATTGATTTCTCACAGTTCTGAAAGCTGGGAAGCATAAGAGCATGGCTCCGGCATTGGGCAAGGGCCTTCGTGCTGCATCATAACACGGCAGAAGGGCAAGTAAGTATGAGAAAGCTCGATTTTAAAACAAAGCCGCTCCTGCAATAACAGACCTACTCACATGACAGCAACGTTAATCCATGCATAAGAGCAGAGCCTCATTAATCCATTCATAGGGCAGACAGATTGTTTCCAACACATGAACTTTTGGGGAACACATTCAAATCATAGCACCACATAAACTAACATCATACTTAATAGTGAAAGACTGAAAGCTTTCCCCCTAAAATCAGGAACAAGATAAAGATGCCACTCTCACTACTTCTATTCAACACCTAGAATAAATTTAACAAAAGAAGTGCAAGAAATGTCCACTGAAAACTAAAAAGTATTACCAAAAGAAATTAAAGAAGACCTAAATAAATGTAAACACATTTTGATGTTCATGGATTGGAAGACTTAATATTGTTAAGGTGGCAATATTCCTCGAATGAATTTCCAGATTCAACACAATCCCTTTCAAAATCCCAGCTGGCTTTTTCACAGAAATTTAAGCTGATCCTAAAATTAATATGCAATTGGAAGAAATCCAGTAGAGCCAAAGCAATCTTGAAAAAACAAGAACAAAGTTGGAGAACTCACACTTCCCAATTTCAAAATTGACTAAAAAGCTATAGTAATAAAGACAGGGTGATACTGGTATAAGGACAGACATACAGGTCAATGGAATAGAACTGAGAGTCTAAAATAAACCCATACATATATGGTTAACTGATTTTCAACAAGGGTGCCAAGACCATTAAGGGGGAAAAACTCAGTCTTTTTAACAAAAGGTCCTGGGAAAACTAGATAGCCACATGCAAAAGGATGAATTTAGCCCCCTACCTCATGCTATATACAAAAATTAACTCAAAATGAATGAAAGACCTAAATGTAAGAAGTAAAATTATAAAACTCTTGGAAGAAAACATAGCTGCAAATCTTCATATGCTTGGATTAGGCAAACATTTCTTCTTTTATTTTTGAAACAGATTCGGGCTGTGTCACCCAGTCTGGAGTACAGTGGCACGATCTTGGCTGGCTCACTACAAACTCCACCTACCAGGTTCAAGCGATTCTCTCCTACCTCAGCCCCGAGCAGCTGAGACTACAGGTGTGCACCACCACATATGGTTAATTTTTGTGTTTTTAGTAGACATGGGGTTTCGCCATGTTGGCCAGGCTAGTTTCAAACTCCTGGCCTCAAATGATTCACCCACCTCGGCCTCCCAAAGTGCTAGGATTACAAGCATGAGCCACCACGCCTGGCCATTTCTTAGATATGATGCCTAAAGCACAAGCAATGGAAGAAAAAAATCAGATATATGGGATGATAAAAATTTAAAACTTGTGTGCTTCAAAGAATATCATCAAAAAAGTGAGAAAACAATTCACAGGATGAAAGAAAATATTTGCAAATCATATATATGATAAGGGACTAGTATGCATAACATAGAATTCTTACAACTCAACAACAGAAAGACAAATACACCAATTTAAAAATGGGGGCCAGGTGCGGCGGCTCACACCTGTAATCCCAGCACTCTGGGAGGCCAAGGCAGGTGGATCACCTGAGGTCAGGAGCTCAAGACCAGCCTGACCAACATGGTGAAACCCCATCTCTACTAAATACAAAAAATTAGCCGGGCATGGTGGTACGTGCCTGTAATCCCAGCTACTTGGGAGGCTGAGGCAGGAGAATCGCTTGAACCCTGGAGGTGGAGATTGTAGTGAACCGAGATTGCAACACTGCATTCCAGCCTGGGCAACAAGAGCAAAACTCTGTCTCAAAAAAAAAAAAAAAAGAATTTCTACTTCCTCTGTTTCCCCTGTCCTTCCTAAGGTTCCCCTCCAACTTAACTGGCCAGGGCAGAGATGAGGGAGGAACGAGGAAGCGGGCAGGCAGGCAGTACAACTGAGGCAGATGGTTTATTGGTGAATGCCAGCTGTTTGGGAAAAACTCTGTCAACCTGGGTTTTTCCTCTGATCTCACACCACAACAACAACCTTCAACACAGAAGAAGACTTCTGTGGCCAAATGTGTGTGGGTTTTTCCCCACACTCCAATAAATGGATGCCAGCTAGGTGTCCTCCAATTCAGTTCTGACACTGTCTACTCGGACACAGCGTCAGATACCACAGGTTGACGGCTTGGTCCCCAAGACCGGCCACTAACCAGATACCAGTCGCAAGTCCAGGCTTCCAAAACTTTTTTTTTTTTTTTTTTTAAGACTGAGTCTCACTCTGTGACCCAGATTGGAGTGCAGTGGCACATCTTGGCTCATTGCAACCTCCGCCTCCCAGGTTCAAGCGATTCTCCTGCCTCAGCCTCCTGAGGACTACAGGTGCGCACCACCACGCCCAGCTAATTTTTTGTATTTTTAGTAAAGATGGGGTTTCACTGTGTTGGTCAGGATGGTCTCAATCTCCAGACCTCATGATCCACCTGCCTCAGGCTCCCAAAGTGCTGGGATTATAGGCATAAGCCACCGCACCTGGCTGCCCGGCTAATTTTTGCAACTTTTTTGTAGAGACAGGGTTTCGCCATGTTGGTCAGGCTGGTCTGGAACCCCTAACCTCAAGTGATCTGCCCGCTTCGGCCTCCCAAAGTGCTAGGATTACAGGCATGAGCCGCCATGCCTAGTCAGGCCTCCAGAACTTCTGACCAACCAGCTTCAAGTTGGGGTTCCCACGACCCCCTCTTTGGGTTCGATTACTTTGCTAGTGCAGCTCACAGAACTCAGGGAAATAGTTAATGTTTACCAGTTAACTACAGAGGATATCACAAAGGATACAGAGAAGAGATGCACAGGGTGAGCTAAGGGGCAAGGGGCGTGGAGCTTCCATGCCCTCCCTGGACACGCCACCCTTCAGGAACCTCCACATATTCAGCCATCCAGAAGCCTCCCAAACCCTGTCCTCCTGGGTTGTTATGGAAGCTTTGTTACAGAGGCATGATTGACAACCATGTAGAAATGTGATTGGACAAAAAGCACATTATCTAAATCCAGCAAGGCCTGTCTGTTCAGACTTTTCTTGGCCTCTGTGCAGCATTCCTTTCTCTAGGGCAGAGGTGTCCAATCTTTTGCACAATCTTGCAAACATACTAAAACCACTGAATCATACACTTTAAAATGGTGACTTTTATGGTATGTAGACTATAACTCAATTTAAAAGAAACTAAATCTCGGCTGGGTGTGGTGGCTCACACCTGTAATCCCAGCACTTTGGGAGGCTGAGGTGGGCAGATCACCTGAGGTCAGGAGTTCAAGACCAGCCTGGCCAACATGGTGAAACCCTGTCTCTACAAAAATTACCCAGGTATGATGGCGGGTGCCTGTAATCCCAGCTACTCAGGAGGCTGAGGTGGAAGAATTACTTGAACCTGGGAGGCGGAGGTTACAGTGAACGGAGATCGCGCCGTTGCACTCCAGCCTATGTAACAGAGTGAGACTGTCTCAAAAAAAAAAAAAAAGTGGAAAACAGAAACGAAATCTCTGAGGGTAAAGCTGAGGCATTCGCATTAAAACAAACAAACAAACAAAAAACTCCTCCAGATGATTCTGGCACACAGCAAAGGTTGAGAATCACTTTGCTAAGGTGTACATGAAAAGCAGAATTTATAAGGCACACATTATATGCACCTTTAGCTATACTGGATGTTGCCAAAGTACTTTCCAAAGTCATTATAACTATTTGTGGTCTTTCTGGTACTGTAGGAGACTTCCAGTTGCTCTTTGACAACACATGGGTATTATTTTCCCAATTGAAGGATAAGGAAATTGGGGGCCTAAAAGATTACTTGCCCAAAGTCACAAAGTGGTACTGCTTGGGATATAACTATACAGACTGTGCTGACCATCATCTTTAATGTTCTGCCTCTCCATTTACAAGTATTACTTATGTCAAAGGTGCTCCAATTCATTGACATCACTGGACCAGGGCACTAATAATATTTTTGGTTCTATATACCCTCTCTGGTCCCACTGGGACTAAATTCAACCCCATACTGAAGGGAGAGATTCACCATACAGAGAATGAACTTCCCCTAGAATCCTGAAGTCGGCCAATCCCGTAAGTTCAAGCTTTCAAAACACATAGAAATATCAAATAAATGGGGCCGCATATTTCTCAATGAGTTAATCTTCAAGTACCAATGACAAACTGGATTTTGTCAAGTTTATAAAAATGTATCTATTTCTAACTATGTGCCAAGAAGCAGGCAAGATGTCTGTCCTAAGGGTTTCAGAAAAATAAGGCAGGGTTCCTGCTCTCAAAAAGTTCATCTTATTGAAATAGTGAGACTTTAATGTAAATGAGGTAAGAATTTCAAGTGGTATGACTTAAAGAAGTGATTAATATGAGCTAGATGTTTGGGATAATTGACCTTGATTTTCTTTCCTATCCTGAATCTCAAGGAATATATGAGATAGGGAAGACTCTGTGACCAAAAACAAAACAAAACATTCTCGGCCGGGCACGGTGGCTCACGCCTGTAATCCCAGCACTTTGGGAGGCCAAGGCGGGTGGATCATTTGAGGTCAGGAGTTCGAGACCAGCCTGGCCAACACAGTGAAACCCCGTCTCTACTAAAAATACAAAAATTAGCCAGGCATGGTGGTGCATGCCTGTAATCCCAGCTACTCGGGAAGCTGAGGCAGGAGAATCACTTGAACCCAGGAGGTGGAGGTTGCAGTGAGCCAAGATTGCGCCACTGCACTCCAGCCTGGGCAACAGAGTGAGACTTCATCTCAAGAAAAAAAATTCTCCATTCTGGCTGTGGTAGCTAGCCTCTAAGGTGGCCCCCAATGATCCTTGTCCCTGGTACTAACACCCTTGTATAGTCACCTCCCACAATGAATAGCGCTGACTTGTGACACCAAAAGGACATCACAGAAACAACTGTGTGTGCCTTCTGAGTCATAGCCATAAAACACATTGCGGCTTTTGCCTTGCTCTCCTGAATTACTTACATTATGGGAAGCCAGCTGCCATGTCATGAGGATACTCAAGCAGCCTTATGGAAAGATCCCTGTGTTGAGAAACTGAGGCTTCTTGCCAACAGTTAGCACTCAACTGCCTACCATATGAGACACCTTGGAAGATGACTCTCCAGCCCTAATCAAGATTTCAGGCCAGGCACGGTGGCTCACACCTGTAATCCCAGCATTTTGGGAGGACAAGGCAGGGGGATTGCTTGAGCCTAGGAGTTCAAGAACAGCCTGGGCAACATAGGAAGACCCTGTCTTTACAAAAAAAAATTAAAAATTAGCCAGGCATGGTGGCACATGCCTATGGTCCCAGCTACTCAGGAGGCTGAGGTGGGAGGATCACTTGAGCCCAGGAGATCGAGACTGCAGTGAGCTGTGATTGTGCCACTGCACTCTAGCCTGCGTGACAGAGTGAGACCCTGCCTCAAAAAAAAAAAAAGACTTCAGATGACTGTTTACATAGTCATCTTCTTAATCGCAGCTTCATGAGAGACCAGAATCACCTAGCTAAGCTTGCTCTTGAATTCCTGACCCACAGAAAATACATAAAATGATAAATGTTTGTTCTTTAAAAAAAAAAAAATCAAGAGAGTACCAGAAGATGAAGATGGACAGATCATAGAGCGCATTCAGGCTTATATTTTTATCCAGCCAACTAGGAGTGTTTTCCTTGTACTCCACAATGATCCCTAAATGAAATCAGATGGGGAGGAAGGAGGAGTCCTTAATGGATTGGGCTAGACTCCTCCCCACTCAGAGCAGCTTTCTGCTTATCAGTCTTATTTATACTTCTGGGTAAGAATTTAATTAAAGAAAGGATTTTTCATCTAAAAATGTTTCAAAGGCATTGCTATAAGTGATGAAGGGTCACTAACAGATTTGAAGCAGGTGACTGACATAATGTGTATTTCAGATAATTCAAGCAGTAGAGGATAGACTGGAGGAGAGCAAAACTAGAGACCAAAAGACCAGGTAAGAGGCCACTTCAGTAGTCTAAGTAAGTGATTTTGGGTACTGAAATAACGGCAGTGCAGCAGGGCTGAACAGGAGGCAGCAGCCACAAAAGAGATTAGAAGGCAGAATCGACAGTACATGGTGAGTGACTAGATGTATGCAGGGGATGATGGTGGGATGGTGGGGACAGATGAGACAAAGAGAGACTGACTCCTAGATTTCTGGCTGGGGCCACTGCATGAATCCTGGTGTCATCATAAGAAGAAGGAAAAGAAGGACTAGCATTTGGCTAATAGTAATAGAGACCTGACTGCAATGGCTTCAACAAAAGAGCTTGTTCTCTCATGTAACATCAGGAGGAAGGCAGTTCTGAGCACTGGTTGAGACCCAAGGATAGCAGGGCAAAGGCTCTGCAATTCTTGTGGCCTCTCCTTCCCAGTTCCAGGCTGGCTGCTAGTGTTCCAATTATCATGTCCATTTCCCAAGAAGCAGGATGGAATAAGGATAAAGGGTAAAAAAGGCTTGAAGTCACCCATCAGCTGACATCTACTTCCATCTCTTTTGCTTGGCCAAAGCTAAGTCATATTCAGAATCTTAGTTGTTGGGGGGAAGGGGACTGGAATATGCACCCTAACTTTACAGACACTCGTGTATAGGAGGGTGTAGCAGAAGAGTGTCAGAGTACGCCTGTAATCCCAGCACTTTGGGAGGCCGAAGTGGGCGGATCACGAGGTCAGGAGATCGAGACCGTCCCGGCTAACACAGTGAAACCCCGTCTCTACTAAAAACACAAAAAATTAGCCGGGCGTGGTTGCAGGCACCTGTAGTCCCAGCTACTCAGGAGGCTGAGGCAGGAGAATGGCCTGAACCCGGGAGGCGGAGCTTGCAGTGAGCTGAGATCACGCCACTGCACTCCAGCCTGGGTGACAGAGCGAGACTCCGTCTCAAAAAAAAAAAAAAAAAGAGTGTCAGAGTGGTGCTGAGCGAATCGATCTGTGGTACTGTCCACAGTAGAGAAATGATAAGTTTGGCCTTCATCATGTTGGATCTGAAAAGTAGGACATCAGGTGAAGAGGTAGAGTAGGCAACTGGCTATACAGTTCTGGGACACAGGAAGGCACAGTAGGCAGATTTAGATTTTATCATCAGCATAAAAGTGTAACTAATGCCATGTAAGGTGACAAGAATGCCCAAGGAAGGCATAAAGAGAGTGGGGACAAAAGCAAGGTCAGAACCGCATGGAATACCAATACTTGAGGGGCAGGCAGAAGAAAAAGAATCCAAAGGATTGAGAAGGCCAAAGAAGGAGAAGGAGGCTCACAAGAGCAGCTTCACGTGTTGAAACCCTGTCTCTACTAAAAATACAAAAATTAGCCAGGCATAGTGGTGCACAACCGTAATCCCAGCTACATGGGAGGCTGAGGCAGGAGGATCACTTGAACCCAGGAGGCAGAGGTTGCAGTGAGCTGAGATCGCATCACTGCACTCCAGCTTGGGTGACAGAGCGAGACTCTATCTCAAAAAAAAAAAAAAAAAAGAAAAGAAAGAAAGAAAACATGTAGCTAGATGTCAGCCTATAGTTTTTTTCTGGTTCAACACTAAAGTTTCATAAGGGCAGGATTCTTTGCTGTTTACTGGTTGTACTGGGTTAGATAGTGACCCTTAAAAATTCACATTCTGGCCGGGCACAGTGGCTCATGCCTGTGATCCCAGCACTTTGGGAGGCCGAGGTGGGAGGATCACTTGAGTCCAAGAGTTTGAGACCAGCCTGGCCAACATGGTGAAACCCCATCTCTACTAAAAACACAAAAACTAGCCAGGCATGGTAGCACACACCATCTCAAAAAAAAAAAAAAAAAGAAAAAAGAAAAAAGAAAAAAAAATCCACATCCATCCAGGAACCTCAGAATGTGACCTTATTTGGAAATAGTGATGTTGCAGACATAATTAGTTAAGTTAAAATGATGTCATACTGGAGGAGGATGGGCCCTTAATCCAATATGATTGGTGCCCTTATAAGAAAAGAACAGGCAAAGGGAGAATGCCATGTGATGATACAAGCACTGACTGGAGTGATGCATTTACAATACAAGCCAAGGAATGCCAAGGATTGCTGGTAAACGCCAAAAACCAGGAATGAGGCAAGGAAGGATTCTCCCCTACAATCTTGAGAGAGAGCATGGACTTACCAATACCTTGATTTCAGACTTCTAGCCTCCACAACTATTAAACAACTTCTCTTGTTTTAGGCCACCCAATTTGTAGTACTTTATTTTTTTTTTATTTTTTGAGACAGTGTCTCACTCTGTCGCCCAGGCTGGAGTACAGTGGCACAATCTCAGCTCACTGCAACCTCTGCCTCCCCATACAAGCAATTCTCCTATCCCAGCCTCCCGAGTAGCTGGGATTACAGGCACACGCGCCACCATGCCCAACTAATTTTTGTATTTTTAGTAGAGATGGGGTTTCACTACGTTGGCCAGCCTGGTCTCGAACTCCTGGTCTCAAGTGATCCACCCACCTCAGCCTCTCAAAGTGTTGGGATTACAGGCGTGAGCCACCACACCCAGGCTGTAGTACTTTACTATGGCAGCTCTAGAAAACTAATACACTGGCGGCCGGGCACGATGGCTCACGTCTGTAATCCCAGCACTTTGGGAGGCCAAGGCAGACAGACCACGAGGTCAGGAGATCGAGGCCATCCTGGCTAACACGGTGAAACCCCGTCTCTACTAAAAATACAAAAAAAAATTAGCCGGGCATGGTGGCAGGCGCCTGTAGTCCCAGCTACTCGGGAGGCTGAGGCAGGAGAACGGCGTGAACCTGGGAGGCAGAGCTTGCAGTGAGCCGAGATCGCGCCACTGTACTCCAGCCTGGGTGACAGAGCGAGACTCCGTCTCCAAAAAAAAGAAAACTAATACACTGGTATATATTCCAGACTTCTAGGATAGTACCTGGAACATAGTAGGAGCTCGGTAAATGAAATATTTGTTGCATGAATGGATGGATTTTTTAATTCCCTAGGATTGACCTTTCCATGACTTCTAGCACCTGCTGCTGACCGTCCCCTAGCCACACCCCCACACACTTCTTGATACTCTCTCCTATTTTCTGCATCACCAGGTTCTTCTGGTTCTGTTCCAATTCTTTTGTCTGCCTTTTAAATATTCAGTCCTATCTGCTTGCTCCACACTCTGTAATTTTATCCCTTCCCAGGTTTCAATTTCCCATATATACCAAACTCCCAAATCTAAAACAGAGCTAACCACATCACACCCCTGCTTAAAAAACAGAGATAGGCCGGGCGCAGTGGCTCACCCCTCTAATCCCAGCACTTTGGGAGGCAGAGGCAGGTGGATCGCCTGAGGCCAGAAGTTCGAGACCAGCCTGGCCAACATAGTGAAATCCCATCTCTACTAAAAATACAAAAAATTAGCCAGGCGTGGTGGCAGGTGCCTGAAATCCCAGCTACTCAGGACGCTGAGGCAGGAGAATCGCTTGAACCTGGGAGGCGGAGGTTGCAGTGAGCCAAGATCACACCATTGCACTCCAGCCTGGGCAACAAGAGCGAAACTCCGTCAAAAAAAAAAAAACGGAGATGGCTCTTCATTGCCTACAGATTAAGGCCAAACTTGTCCACTTCAGCACTTTACTCTGTCCTCACCCTAGTATGCATGATGCCGTTCCTGTAAAGTAACCTGTGCTCCAGTCACAAACGACAATTCAGGTTTCTAAAGCACACCATGTTTGATGCTTTTAATGCTTCCATATTCCTTCCACCTGGAATGCTCTTCATTCCCTTCATCTACTTGGTGAAATCCTAGTTCAGGCTAAACACAAATGCCATCATCTTTTGAAGCCTTTCCTGGCCACCATTCAGGACAAATGACCCACTCCCACCTGTTTTTCCTTTCGTTCAGAAGACCAGTATTTTTTCCTATCACAATAGGAGTCATTCCCTCAAAGTCATGAGCTCTTTAATGGTAAAAATCATACCTTATTCATCTTCACAGATCCAGTACCTAGCTCAGTGCCTGGCACACGGTATGCTCCACAAGATTACAGGTTGAATGAACTCATTCAAACCTGTAAATTGTAAACAAACTACGGCTATCAAATGGCAATGGAGGGGCCGGGCACAGTGGCTTATGCCTGTAATCCCAGCACTTTGGGAGGCCAAGGAGGGAGAATCACTTGAGGCCAGGAGTTCAAGACCAGCCTGGCCGACATGGTGAAACTGCGTCTCTACTAAAAATACAAAAATTAGCTGGGCGTGGTGGCGCACGCCTGTCATCCCAGCTACTGGGGAGGCTGAGGCAAGAGAGTTGCTTGAATCTGGGAGGTGGAGGTTGCGGTAAGCCGAGGTCACACCACTGCACTCCAGCCTGAGCAACAGAGTGAGTGAGACTCCATCTCAATTAAAAAAAAAAAGCAATGGAATCACATGTGAGCACCATTTCAACAAAGCACAATAAAGATATTACTACATTAACAGAAGTTAGAAAACCACCACAAATGTCAAAGTATTGGGACCAACTGACCTGTTCAACAATAGATGTGATATTTATATTATTCAGAAACAGACTCCAACACAATAGGGAAATCCTAAACAGGGAGCATCAACCTCTTACCTCCGCAGATACATAGTCTCCTCATCTTCTGTGTTACAAAACTTATGGGCATGTTTGGCAGCATCAATCACACGGGACCGGTCCCGGGGCCTCATGGGCAATTTCTCTAACTGGCAGTCTGAAGGAATGGAGAGATTTGGTCACTAGAGTCATGGCAAAATATAGCAAATGAGTCACTGCAAAATATCCTGAGAAGTTTTGAGTGGGATCCCTAGCACTAGAATTTTCTACTACAATTACTATGCTTATTGAAACCTATTATTGAATGTTCCAACTAAAAATGACTTGCTATCAGGAGACCTTGGTATTTGGACCCAGCTCTCTTACTACCCTGGTGATCTTTGGCAAATCACTTCCTCCTTTGGAGACTTTTGCCTCATTTGAAAGATGAGTTAGATGATATTATCTCAAAAGTCCTTCCCAATACTGCAATTCAGGTTTCTGTAAGTATTTCTGTGATCATAGTACACTTGGTTTGTGTTATAATGCATTAGAATCAGGAGACACAATCAAGCATACTGGAATGCCTACAAGGAAGCACTGGGAAAAGTGGGTATGTGCTAAGAAAAGGAGAGAGGCTGGGCGTGGTGGCATGCACCTATAGTCCCAGCTACTCAGAAGAATGAGGCAGGGCGATTGCTTGAGACCAGGAGTGCAATGCTGTAGTGTTCCATGATTGTGCCTGTGAATAGCCACTGTACTCCTGCCTGGGCAACACAGCAAGACCCTGTCTCTGTTTTACAAAAAAAAAAAAAAAAGAGGCCAGGCGAGGTGGCTCATGCCTGTAATCCCAGCACTTTGGGAGGTCAAGACGAGCAGATCACCTGAGGTCAGTAGTTCAAGACCAGCCTGGCCCAGCTACTTGGGAGGCTGAGGCGAGAGAATTGCTTGAACCCAGGAGGTGGAGGTTGCAGTGAGCCAATATTGTGCCACTGCACTTCAGCCTGGGCAACAGAGCGAGACTCCGTCAAAAAACAAAAAAAAAGGAAGAGAGAGGGTGATTATATAGTATGCAAATGATCCATCCTAGTTGGAGGAATTTTAATCTGAAAACAATGAAAACACAGTAAACAAATTAGGTACAGTTGTAAAGCAGATTGAAAATTGATATAATGGGCCAGGTGCGGTGGCTCACGCTTGTAATCCAGCACTTTGGGAGGCTGAGGTGGCAGGTGGATCACCTGAGGTCAGAAGTTCGAGACCAGCCTGGCCAACATATAGCGAAACCGTCTCTACTAAAACATACAAACATTAGCAGGGCGTGGTGGCACACACCTGTAGTCCCAGCTAGTTGGGAAGCTGAGGCAGGAGAATCGCTTGAACCCAGGAGGCAGAGGGTTGCAGTGAGCTGGGATCACACCACTGCACTCCTGCCTGAGCAACAGAGGAAAACTCCGTCTCTCAAAAGAAAAAAAAAAGAAAAAAAAAGAAAATTTATATAATGCAAATTAAGCACCTAAAGGATCACAGAGAAAGTCAAGTGGTCAGAGTAATTCAAGATGAATAGAGGAGGTGAAGAGAGGAGTTAGAGAACACTAGGCAGTTTACATGTCAGCTCATTTACTCTTCACAATGAATGGTTAAAGTAAAGATTTGTTGTTCCTATTTTAAAGATGAAGGAACTGAGGTTAAAAAGGGTAAGAGATATACCATGCATCTAATAAGAAGCAGAACAAGAATTCAGACCCAACTCTAAGTGATTCAAAAGCACATGCTGTTTCCACCACACCTCCTTACCAAGAATTAATTTCTTCGATAAATACGTGAGGGCCCTCTAGGTAGCAGGCACTGTTCTAACACTGTGCTAAAGATTCAGCAAACAACAAAGCAGATAAAGTCTCCGCCCTGGCCGGGCACGGTGGCTCACGCCTGTAATCCCAGCACTTTGGGAAGCCAAGACAGGTGGATCACCTGAGGTCAGGAGTTCGAGACCAGCCTGGCCAACATGGTGAAACCCCGTCTCTCCTAAAAATACAAAAATTAACCGGGTGCGGTTGCTCACGTCTGTAATCCCAGCACTTTGGGAGGCCGAGGCTGGCGGATCACCTGAGGTCGGGAGTTTGAGACCGGCCTGACCAACATGGAGAAACCCTGTCTCTACTAAAAAAATACAAAATTAGCTGAGCATGGTGGTGCATGCCTGTAATCCCAGCTACTCGGGAGGCTGAGGCAGGAGAATCGCTTGAACCCAGGAGACGGAGGGTGCAGTGAGCCGAGATGGTGCCACTGCACTCCAGCCTGGGCAACAAGAGCGAAACTCCGTCTCAAAAAAAAAAAAAAAAATTAGCCAGACATGGTGGCAGGTGCCTGTAATCCCAGCTACTCAAGAGAATCACTTGAACCTGGGAGGCAGAGGTTGCAGTGAGGTGAGATCGCACCATTGCACTCCAGCCTGGGCTACAAGAGCTAGACACTGTTTCAAAAAAAAAAAAAAAAAGTTCCGGCCCTGATGAAGCTTACATTCTAGTGGAAGAGGCAACATATTTTAAAATAATTATAATATGATTTTGGGTAATGATAAGTGCTAAATATTAAGCAGGGTAAGAGGACAAAGTGACAGGGATGCTGTTTTAGATAAGGTAATCAGGGAAGGGTTCTCTAAGGAAATTACATTTTAGCAGAGACCTGAATGAAGTAAGGGAGGGATTGAGGGAAAAGTTTTTGGGGCAGAAGAAATACCAATTAAAAAGGCACTGGGGGGCAGGAACACTTTTGACATGATGGAGAAAAAGCAAAAAGGCCACTGTGGCTGAAGTGCGATGAGCAAGAGGAAGACTGTTAGGGAATGAAGCCTGAGAGGTAGCCACAGGCCTGATCAAGGGTCTTGGTATGGATGGACTTTGGTTTTATTCTCAGTGTTATATGAAACCATTGGTTTTGAACAGGACTCTGGCTACTATGTGGAAAAGAGTGGAAGCAACGAGAGCAAGAGACTATTGTGCCAATCCAGGTGAAAGATGGTAGTAGCTTGGACTACAGTGTTAGAAGTGGAGGTGGTAGGCCGGCCGTGGTGGCTCATGCCTGTAATCCCAGCACTTTGGGAGGCCTAGGTGGGTGGATCACTTGAGGTCAGGAGTTCAAGACCAGTCTGGCCAACATGGTGAAACCCCATCTCTACTAAAAATACAAAATTAGCCGGGCGTGGTGGCACATGCCTGTAATCCCAGCTACTAGGGAGGTTGAGGCAGGAGAATCGCTTGAACCTGGGAGGTGGAAGTTGCAGTGAGCCGAGATCGCACCACTGCACTCCAGCCTGGGCAAGAAGAGCGAAACTCCATCTCAAAAAAAAAAAGAAAAAAAAAAAAACTAGCCGGGCCTGGTGGCGCACACTACTTGGGAGGCTGAGGCAGGAGAATCGCTTGAACCTGGGAGGCGGAAGTTGCAGTGAGCTGAGACCGCGCCACAGCACTCCAGCCTGGGTGACAGAGTGAGACTCCCTCTGTCTCAAAAAGAAAAAGGAATGGAGGTGGTAAGAAGCAGTCAGATCCTGCATACATTTTCACGAAAGCACCTGCAGGATTTCCTGATGGACTGGACAGATGTAAGGTACGTGACAGACAGAAGTCAAGACTGATTCCAGGTTTTGGTCTGAGATACTGGATGAATAGTTGTACTACTGACTGCAATAGGGATGACTATAAGAGGAGCAATTGGAGAGGGGGTGTAGAGGGTCATGAACTCAATTTTCAGCACGATATATTTGAGAGGCCCATTAGACATTCAAGTGGAGATGTTGAATAGGCAATTGGAGTCTCAGGAGAGGTGCAGGTTAAAGATGAACATCTGGGAGTTACCAGCATGTCAGTTGTATTTAAAGCTTGGGAATGAATGAGATCACCTAGGGGGTGGGTACAGAGTGAGAACAGGTGAGAGTACTGAGCTATAGGGCCTTGGAATGCCTAAAAGTCTGAGAGAGAAAAGGGAGCCAGACAAGGGGAAAAATCTAAGGCTGGGCGCGGTGGCTCACGCCTGTAATCCCAGCACCTTGGGAGGCCGAGGCGGGTGGATCACGAGGTCAGGAGTTCGAGACCAGCCTGGCCAACGTAGTGAAACCCCCGTCTCTACTAAAAACACAAAAATTAGCCGGGCATGGTGGCGGGCGCCTGTAATCCCAGCTACTCGGGAGGCTGAGGCAGGAGAATCACTTGAATCCGGGAGGCAGAGCTTGCAGTGAGCCGAGATTGCACCACTGCACTCCAGCCTGGGCAGCAGAGTGAGACTCCATCTGAAAAAAAAGGGGGGGGGGAAATACGAGGTAGGAGGAAAATCAAGTGAGTATGGAGTCTTGGAAGCAAATAAAAAACATGTTGCAAAAGGAATGAAATGATTACCTCTGTCAAATGCCACTGACAGAATTAAAATGAACATTGATAACTGACCACTAGAACTGTTAACATGGAGCCAAATACGGTTAAGATGATGAGGTGGGAAGGAAAGCCTACCTGAAGTGAGGTCAGGAGAGAATTAGAAGTCAGGATGCAGAGACAGCCAATATAGGCAACTCTTTTGAGAAGCTTTGCTATAAAAGAAGCAACGAAATGGGGTTATAGCTGGAGGGGAATACAGGATCGAGGGAGGGTTTTATTTTCGTTTGCTGTGAGGTAAGAGCAACTGCAGCATCTTGGTATCCAGCAGAAAAGTTATAAAGCTTCTAGAGGCAGTAGTTTTTGAAGACAGTGGATTAAGAGGGAAATACAATATGTTTGTGTTTCTATTTTTGTTCTCCTGAAGGAGTTTAGTTTTGAGGAAGGTCTGGATACAGAGTCACAAGGCTAAACAAAAAGCAGGAAAAAAAAAAATGCCCTGGAGTGGGGCGGGGATGCGTAGGGAGGATTTAGTCGGAGAGAGAAAACCCACCAATCTTCGTTGAGAAGTGGCTCCCAGATCACAGCCAGAGGAAATTCGCCTTCAAGAACCCGAAGTCTGGCTCCTTGCAGACGCCCCCGCAGTTCCCGGCTACTCACCCAGCACTAGGACCATCTGGCCGCACAAACAGTAGTAAACATGGAGGGGCTTCTCGCCGTCGTCATATTCCTCCCGGTCCCGAGTGTCAGAGCAGACTACTGACCGAGACACTACTTTCGGCATGATTCCCAAGAGCAATCTGAAAACTCTACGCCAAGAAGAGGGTCGCCCCGAAATGACGTCACGAGTGCGCCTTGCACCTTTTCCTTGTGGCTACGCTGGTCACGTGTTAGCAGAAGTCTTATAAACTTCCGGGCTGTCCTATCAGGCTAAGATATACGGGGGTGCGCCTGGAGCCTCCCAGAACCTACTTTGTCTTGGCCAAGTTAGCTGGGACTCCTGTGATCTGGGAGTCACTTCTCAATGAAGATTGGTGGGCTTTCTCACAACACCCTTAATATTATATAAATTCTTTACATTTCTATAACGCATGCATTTATATGTATATATACACATATGTATATATAAGACCAGCTAAATAAAGGACTATGCATTATATAGTTTATATTATATATATATATATATATATATGATACTGATTTGGGTGTGTTTCTAAATATGATTGTGATTTTAATGACTATTCCAGATGAGTACATAATTTTTTAGGTATCTTATTTTTTAGTTGATATAATTCACGTAACATAAAATTCACCCTTTTAAAATGTGTAATTGGGTGTTTTTTAGTGTATTCACAAAGTTGTGTAACCATCACCACTAATTCCAGAACATTTCCATCATCTCAAAAAGAAATCTTATACCCATTAGTAGTCACCACGACCCGCACATCCCCCACCTTCCCAGCCCACGGCAACCACTAATCTACTTTTTATCTCTATGGATTTGCCTATTCTGGACATTTCATATAAATGGAATCCTACAATATGTGGCCATTTGTCTGGCTTCTTTCATTTACCATAATGTTTTCAAGGTTCATCCATGTTACAGTACTTCTTTCCTTTTTATGGTTGAATAATATTTCATCATATGGATATATCACATTTTGTTCATTCATCAATTGGCAGACAACGGGGATGTTTTCACTTTTTGGTTATTATATAGATAATGCTGCTATGAACATTCATGTACAAGAATACTTCCACCGCAAATTTGTGTGGGAATATAAATCTGGATTTTTAACTTTTGACAGCACGAGAAGTGATTAAAGCACCTTGACACTGTTTGTGATTCAAACAATGTGGGATGTCATTGAATGACTTTACTGCAGTACAGGTTTCAGGTATAAACACTGTTTTGCCTTGTAATTTTAGGTTAAATTCATTAAGGAACATTACTAAGTCTATGGCAAAAGCCATTTTTTAAAACTATTCATGTTCAATAATAGTGGTCAAGGGTGGGGTTCTTCTCATTTAGAAAATTTTCTAAAATTTTGAATTCAAATTCAAATTCAAATTTTCTAAAATCTTGAACTCCTGACCTCGTGATCCACCCACCTTGGTCTCCCAAAGTGCTGGGATTACAGGTGTGAGCCACCGCGCCCAGCTGAACTTCACTGTTGACACTACTGTCAAGAATAACACAAGACAGATTCAAGTTTGTTTGTTTGTTTGTTGCAAAGTACCTGCTGTTTAATAATACAATTAATAACTACAGGATTTTAAACAACTTACATTTTGACAAGTATTGTACATTTGTCTAAACCTTTTCTGCTCCATACATATTTGTAATACATCTTAGCAAATTATGCTTTAGACTGAATTGAATTAGTGTTTTCCTGACTTCTTTGAAATACTCTCATCTGCAGTTGTTCCACACAAGACCATACACCCAGGCCAATTTTTTTTTTTTTTTTTTTTTTTGAGACAGAGTCTGGCTCTGTCACCCAGGCTGGCTGGAGTGCAGTGGCACAATCTTGGCTCACTGCAACCTCCACCGCCCAGGTTCAATCAACTCTCCTGCCTCAGCCTCCTGAGTAACTGGGATTACAGGCACATGCCACCATGCCTGGCTAATTTTTTTTTTTTTTTTTTTTTTTGTATTTTTAGTAGAGGCAGGGTTTCACCATGTTGGTCAGGCTGATCTCAAACTCCTCACCTCAAGTGATCTGCCCACATCGGCCTCCCAAAGTGCTGAGATTACAGGCGTGAGCCACCACGCCCGGTCCAATTCTTCAGTCACTTTAAAGTCAACATTGACTCCTTGAGTAAAAAACAACAACTGAGTAATATTGGTAAACATTCATCAGGAGCCAAGGAAAACCACTTGAAATCATTTGCTTTGTTTTTGTTTTTGTTTTTGAGACAGGGTCTTGCTCTGTCACCCAGGCTGGAGTGCAGTGGCATGATCACAGCTCACTGCAGCCTCAAACTCCTGGGCTCAAGTGATCCTCCCACCTTAGCCTCCCTAGTAGCTGGGACCACACATGCACACCACCACATCGGCTATTTTTTTTTTAATTTTTTTGTAGAGACAAGGTCTTGCTGTGTTGCCCAGGGTAGTCTTGAACTGTTGGGCTCAAGCAATCCTTCTGCTGCAGGCTTTCAAAGTGCTGAGATTACAGGTGTGAGCCACCGTGCCTTGCCCTTTTTTGTTTGTTTGTTTTTGTTTTGATGTTGATTTCAATGTCCTCAACTCTTAGAGCCACTGTTCTTGCTGAAAGGTGAATAGTCTTCACAAGTTTTATTTTTCTTGAGCCTATTTCTTTGACTTCTGCAGCCAAACACAATTTAGCTCAGTATCAGTAAATGACTTTCCTTGGTTGGCTAACAAAGGAGCCACTCAGAAACTTACTTTGACTATAGGCTTATTTTTATTTTTTCCTTTTTGGGGGGGGCGGGGGATGGAGTCTCGCTCTCTCGCCCAGGCTGGAGGGCGGTGGCGTGATCTCGGCTCACTGCAACCTCCACCTCCCAGGTTCAAGCAATTCTCCTGCCTCAGCCCCCTGAGTAGCTGGGATTACAGGCATGCGCCACCACACTCAGCTACTTTTTGTATTTTTGGTAGAGATGGGGTTTTCTTTTTTTTTTTTTCTTTTTTTTTTTTTTTGAGACGGAGTCTCGCTCTGTCGCCCAGGCTGGAGTGCAGTGGTGCGATCTCGGCTCACTGCAAGCTCCGCCTCCCGGGTTCGCGCCATTCTCCTGCCTCAGCCTCCCGAGTAGCTGGGACTACAGGCGCCCGCCACCACGCCCGGCAAATTTTTTGTATTTTTAGTAGAGATGAAGTTTCACTGTGTTAGACAGGATGGTCTCGATCTCCTGACCTCGTGATCCGCCCACCTCGGCCTCCCAAAGTGCTGGGATTACAGGCGTGATCCCCCACGCCCGGCCGAGATGGGGTTTTCCCATGTTGGCCAAGCTGGCCTGGAACTCCTGACCTCATGATTCACACACCTCAGCCTCCCAAAGTGCTGGGATTACAGGCATGAGCCAATGCGCCTGGCCTATTTTTTAGTTTTATTATGAATTTTGCCATAATAAGATATTCTACTTAAAATTTTAAATTTTACTAGCCATTGCTCTCCTCTGAGTTGGGAATATTGTGATGAATGCTTAGTCTGGTAACATTGATGTACATTATAATATTATTAAATCTTTTGACTTTTTTCAACCGTTTAAGAATATAGAAAGCCATTCTTAGTTTGTAGGCCATAGACAAATAATGGCAGGTTAGATTTGGCTGCAGTTTGCTGAGCCCTGGTCTGATGGATGTGGCTGGTTTGATTGAATTCCCATGTACAACATGGTAGACATGTGTATTAGTTTCATATTACTGCTGTAACAAGTTACCACAAACTTGGTGGCTTAAGACAACACAAATGTATTATCTTAGAGTTTTGGACATCAGAAGTCCAAAACCAATATCAGTGGTCTAAAGTCAAGGTGTCAGCAGGTCTGATTGCTTCTGGGGGCTTCAGGCTTCCATCTTTTGCCTCTTCCAACTCCTACTGCAGACATACTTTGGCTCCTTCCCTGGTGGCCACATCACTCCAATCTCTGCTTCAGTCATCACATGGCCTCCTCTTTGACTCCTACTTCATCCCTCGTATAAGGACTGGTTTGATTGCCTCAGGCCCACCCCTTTAATCCAGGATAATATCCCCATGTCAAGATTCTTAATTTAATCACATCTGCAAAGTCCCTTTTGCCATGTAAGGTAACATATTCACCAGTTACAGAGATAAGGAAATGGAGATCTGGCTGGGGGGGCGGAGGGGGCAGGGTTGTGCATTATTCAGCATACCACACCATGCCTTTGTTTTCTTTGATTCAGTAATTTAGCAGGTAGTGAAATCCTTTTTTTTTTTTGAGACGGAGTCTGGCTCTGTCACCCAGGCTGGAGTGTAGTGGCGTGATCTCGGCTCACTGCAGCCTCTGCCTCCCAGGTTCCAGCGATTCTCCTGCCTCAGCCTTCCAGGTAGCTGGGATTACAGGCACGCACCACCACGCTTAGCTAATTTTTTTGTATTTTTAGTAGAGACGGGGTTTCGCCATGCTGGCCAGGCTGGTCTCAAACTCCTGACTTCGGGTGATCCACCCGCCTCGGCCTCCCAAAGTGCTCGGATTACAGGCGTGAGCCACTGTGCCTGGCCTGAAATCCCATTTTCAAGGCCTTAATTTCCCCATTTCCCTCAGCTTTGATATTCCCCTCCCTCCATCCCAACCTCTTTGTCTCTCTCTCTTCCCCCCACCACTTATGTCCTAGAGGCTGAAGATGAACAACATACTACAAGTTGTCAAGAGCAAGAGCACACACTTTGCTAACTGTTACTTCCTAAAAGTAATTCTCTTGAAATATTTTCTGAGATTATTTGAGTCAAGAAAGACCTTTCGATTTTATTTTCTGTTGGTGCTTTGTTGCTGTTTGTACTAAATTTTATCAACAGAGGTGAAAACCGTAGGAAAGTAAAAGTCCTTTGCCTTCACTGGATAACAGAAATACAAACTTACAGCCTGATAAGGCAAGAAATGATCTTTAATTTCGTCTCTTCTCCTAACCCAAAATACTTCAGGAAAATAAAAATCTATTTTTCATGTTGAAATCTTCATGAATGAAATTTCACAATTTTTTTGGTTTTTTTGAGACAAGTCTTGCATTTTTGCCCAGACTGATCTCAAACTCCTCACTTCAAGCGATCCTCCCACCTCCACCTCCCAAAATGCTGGGATTACAGGCATGAGCCACTGTGCCCAGCCCACTTTTCTTTAAATTGAGGAGACTTATCCTTTCTGGACCCCTGCTCTTGGGTAGGGGTGGTGCTTGGCTGTGAAGAGGGTATTTCTTCAAGATGTCAAGGTGAAAAAAGGGTAGAAAGAATGCTTGGCCAAACTGTGCTAAAGTTAGTATGTTCTAGCCTGATAATCATCATGCTGGAAAACAATCTTCTGTATTGCTGCTTGCTATGACAACCCTGCTTCTGCTGAGGAATGTGGGGGCACGGTGTTCCTGCAATGCAGTTTCATTCCTTAGTCAGAGAATGCTACTCCCATGCAGGTGCCAGGGGGCTTCCAACCATTTGGGTCATGCTCCTGAGTTTTTTTGTTTGTTTGTTTGTGTTTTGTTTTCTGAGACGGAGTTTCGCTCTTGTTGCCCAGGCTGGAGTGCAATGGTGCGATCTCAGCTCCCTGTAACCTCCGCCTCCCGGGTTCAAGCAATTCTCCTGCTTCAGCCTCTGGAATAGCTGGGATTATAGGCATGCACCACCATGCCCGGTTAATTTTGTATTTTTAGTAGAGACGGGGTTTCTCCATGTTGGTCAGGCTGGTCTCAAACTCCTGACCTCAGGTGATCCACTTGGCCTCCCCAAGTGCTGGGATTGCAGGCTTGAGCCACTGAGCCCAGCCCTTAGTTTTCTTGAAAGGAAGAAAGTCCAAGAAAGGAAGAGAAAGGGGGTTTCAAAAAACAGACAAGCTCACAACAAACTTACATACATCTATATCCTTCAATAAATTTCAGACATGTATATCCAGTAGCAGGAGCTTCTCAGTCCCTTTCATACTTTTTAGTACGGTACATGCCGCTTCTTAATAGGGTATTTTCTTTTTCTTTCTCTTTTTTTTTTGTCTGGTCGTGTCGCCCAGGCTGGAGTGTAGTGGCATGACCTCCGCTCACTGCAACCTCCGCCTCCTGGGTTCCAGCGATTCTTCTGTCTCAGCCTCCCGAGTAGCTCGAACTACAGGTCCTCACCACCACGCCCAGCTAATTTTTTTGTATTTTTAGTAGAGATGGGGTTACCTCATGTTGGCCAGGTTAGTCTTGAACTCCTGACCTCAGGTGATCTACCTGCCTCGGCCTCCCAAGTGCTGGGATTATAGGCGTGAGCCACCATGCCTGGCCTCAAAAGGATATTTTCTTTTTTTTCTTTTTTTTCTTTTTTTTTTTTGAGATGGAGTCTTGCTCTGTCGCCCAGGCTGGAGTGCAGTGGCGCGATCTCTGCTCACTGCAAGCTCCACCTCCCGGGCTCACGCCATTCTCCTGCCTCAGCCTCCAGAGTAGCTGGGACTACAGGCGCCCACCACCACGCCCGGAGAATTTTTTGTATTTTTAGTGGAGACGGGGTTTCACCATGTTAGCCAGGATGGTCTTGATCTCCTGACCTCGTGATCCACCTGCCTTGGCCTCCCAAAGTGCTGGGATTACAGGTGTGAGACACCGCGCCCGGCCAGGATATTTTCAATACATCTCTCTCATGCTCAAACACCTATAAAAGCTGCCTAAATTCCCCATTCTCGCATTTGAGGGCATTTAATCAACTTCTGTCACCCTCACTTTTCCTAGCTGAGGTCTCATCATTCCCCAGCCAAGAACCTGTCCATTAGCCAAGCTCATCTGCCCACGGGTTTAGCTCCATGCCCTTGTCTGTGCCATTGCCCCCATATAAACTGCTTAAGTTCTTCTCTCTCAAGCTCCGCTTTCATCTCTGTTGAAACAAAATTGAAATACACCCATTTCAGGAAGCTTGTCCTGATCCCACCAGAATGACGATTCCTCTGCTGTGCAATCTCTCAGCATCTGTGGTTTCACACACTTCTACAAGTTGAGGATCTCAAATCTGAAAATCTAAAATCCGAAATGCTCCAAAACCTGAAACTTTTATAATGCAAATAATTCCAAAATCTGAAAAAAAAAAAAAAAAAAAAAGGAAATCTGAAACCGTTCTGGTTCTGCTGTTGCTGTCGTAGGCAGACTTCTAAGATGCTACCCTCCCCTGAGATTCTTGGTCCTTGGTATATACACACACTTTCTCCCAGTTATTAAATGAAATACTAATCTAGGTTCTGCAGTGAAAAAATTTAGCAGACATAATAAAGGTCCCAACTTAGATGTTTTTAACATAGGGAAATTATCCATGGGGTGGGCCTGACATAATCTGATAAGCCTTTAAAGTAGACTGTGCTCTTCCTGAAAACAAGATTCAAAGAGTGAGAGGGATGTGGTGGGAGAGAAATTCTCTGTTGATGACTTTGAAGATGGAGTAGGCCACTTGGCAAGGAATGCAGGCGGCCTCTAGGAGCTGAGAGTAGTTCCCAGGTGGCAGCTAGTAAGGAAATAGGGACCAAAGTCCTACAACTGCAATGAACTGGGCTTGGCCAACAACTTGTAATTTGTTAAGCAGTGATGAAAACGAATATACTTGCTTTTGTAGATCTTGCTTTTGTTGATTTCATATGTGTGTATGTGTGTGTTAGTAGACTGCAAGTTCTTAGATGAGAGGAAAAAAAGTTTTTTTTTTTTAATTTTTGTACCCCCTTCCTACTACAGCCATAATGTGATGCTATTAGGGAGACTTGCCTTAACTGATATGTTGGAGTTAATGGGAGATAGAAATCCTTGACCATGAAAGTACCTGTTGTTAAGCAGCAGCTAGAATCACTACCATTGTCAAGTGCCTCCTGCTTCTCATGTTAGAAACAAATTCCTGCACATCTGATATCTTCTGGACATCTTCACGGGGATGTCTCACCAGTCCCATGAACTCAGTAAGTCCCACCCAAAATTTCCTTTTCCAAACTTGTCCCTCTCTCTCTATTCTGTAATTCTGTTAATGGCACCTTCAAAACCCCAGTTATCTCGGGGCTTAGAGTTTCAGCCACTGTTGACTCCTTCCTCTCTCTTGCCCCATATTCAGCCTGTTGCCAAGTCCTCCCCATTCATTCATATCCTCGCCTTTATTGTCACTGCCTGCTTCAGTATCTCGCACCTAGATACTGCAAGAGTCTCCTGCCTGCTCTCTTGAGACCAATCTCTGATAAGGACAGCTCTAATGATGTCACTTCCCTGCTCAATGGACTTCCAAGGAATCCATTAGCTTGGCATTCAAAACTCTTGATGACTTAACCCAAATCTACCTTTCTCCTATTTTCAATAATTTTTAAATGTGTATTATGCCTATCTTCTAAGTTATTTTGGGTTGACCTTTAAAAATTATCCTTTAAAACTGTTATTGCTTTTGCAGGTCCACGGACTGTGACTCTTCCTGCAACCTGCAGCTTTTCCACGTTCCTTTTACTTCAGACCCACTGTCCTTGCAACTCCCTGCAGTCGGATAGTCTCATATCTTGGACTCTTCTGAACATAAATAGCCGCTTGGCTTGTTGAACTACCAAGGGGAAATGTGGTTCCAGAGCCAAATTGTGAGTGCCCAAAACAAAACAGAACAAAACAAAACCCTACTCCGCCTGCCTTAAGCTCCCATTCCCTCCCACAGGACATACAACACTATTTCATTCTGCCCTGGGGTGATCATTGGCCTAAACGTTGAGCGCCCAATCCTGCATTCAATCCCACAGCCCCGCCCCGCCCCCCCGTCATAGTCAAGGCCGATTTATTCTTTTGATTTTCCGTGATTTTAACCAATCACTCCTCTCCCCACCCCTCCGACCCCAGTCTCCGGTGTCCGAAGGGGTTGTGCACCCTAGAGTTGCCGCTTTTTGAGAACCGGTTTTACCTCCGCCCACTCCTTCGTCCTCTAGTTTGGGACTTCCAAACTTCTCCCCTCTCCTCCCCGGGCATAGTGCGCGCTTTCATGAATGATCTGGTCACAAAACAAACAAAAACGAATAGAAAAAGAAAAAAAGAGAAAAAGAAAAAAAGCCGAAAACTTCCCAGGGTTTGCCTTAGAATTAGCAGGTGGGGATGGACCCCGTTCCACCACGAGCTCCTCCAGCGCCCGGGGCTCCGGCGTACCCTACGCCTCTGCGCTCGCGGCCCCGCCCCGGGCCTCCCGTGGGGCTTTAATGACATAAGCAACTTTCCTCGCGCACCCCCCGCCCCGTCTTGGTACGGCCTGTCCGGCGCTCGACGTTCCACCCCCCTCTCTCTGCTCTCAGGTTGGTTCAGCCCCCGTCTACACTGGGGTGGTGCTTAGCCGGCGCCAGACCGACCCTCGACTTCGGAGAGGCAGCGCGGTTCCTCTGGGTGCTTCCGCCTCCCCTTCTCCTGCTTCTCCAGCCTCTTCGGCCTCCTCGCCCGCCGCGGGAACCCGAGACCCCAGTGTATGCCCCACCCCTGACCCCGCTCGCGACATGTCCACCCCGGCTCGGCGGCGCCTCATGCGGGACTTCAAGAGGTAAACCGAGGGGACGGCCGAGGCCGGGGGTTGCGAGCTGGGGCACAGGGCGGGTCCCGAGGCGCGCCGGGCGGGGAGGGCTGGGGAGCGGCCGGGAGCGGGCGCCAGTGCCGGCCTAGGGGGACCCCTGTCTGTCTTCCCGAAGGTTGCAGGAGGATCCT
Organism: Homo sapiens; assembly: GCF_000001405.40. NCBI lineage: Eukaryota > Metazoa > Chordata > Mammalia > Primates > Hominidae > Homo > Homo sapiens. The sequence goes on from NW_025791817.1 coordinate 25,918, forward strand.
CCAGCCGGAGTCAGCGGGGCTCCGTCCGAGAACAACATAATGGTGTGGAACGCGGTCATTTTCGGGTGAGTCTGCGTTCGTGGCGGTGGCGAGAAAACTGGGGACGCGAGCAGCTTCGGTCTGCGCTCCGGGGCGGGCCCCCCGCGGAGGCCGAGCGGGTAGGGGAAAATGTTTGGGTCTGGCTGGGCCTAGGCGCCTCCCCGGAGCCTGTGCCTCGATTAGCTCAGTTCCCGCTGCCAGGGGGAACCGCTTGGGGTTCTAGGGGGGCGGGGCGGGGAGTGGTGGCGGTTAGGCGCGGCGGCTTGCCCTGTGTCTCTGAGCCCGGGACATCCATTTGTAGTGGCTTCCGACCCCGGTAGCGGTGCTGGAGATGGCAGAGCTCGGGATAGCCATCTCAGATGAAGCAGGGAGAAGGGGGCCCCTTAAGTGGGAACTGACCATTTTTCTCTGTGTTGCAGGCCTGAAGGGACCCCGTTTGAGGATGGTAAGAGAGAGTTTCTTTACCCACTTTTCAGGAGCCTGGTCATCTGGGGAAAGGGTTCCCAGTCATCCTGGAAGTGTCTCCTGCTTAGGAACCTGCCTCTGCCTAGCCTCTGTCTGCTAAAGGCTTGAGTGGAATGCAGTGTGTGGCTGGTGGTTCTGGATATTGTATGCTTGACTAGAACTGCACCTTTCTTCTTGCTTTCTTAAAAAAAAAATCTGTGTAAGGCAGTCACTTTTTAAAAGGAGCAATCATAGCACTGGTATTAAGGATTTTTGAGGCTTGGGCTGTAATTCTGCTAAATTCAGCCCTCCATCACTGAATTAGTATAAACCCAACCAGTTGCTGATAGGCAGCAGAGACCCCAGAGACCATCTGGTTCAGAATTCTACCCCAAGGGCAGGAGTTGTGTTCAGCAGGTGCTTGGTAGATGTGTGTTGGATGTTGAGTGGATGCGAGAATCCCTTGCGTACAACTGTCTGGTTTCTACAATCTGACATTGAATGCCTGTCAGCCTCACTGCTCTAAGATGGTCTTAAATGCCTCATTTGAGTACAGTATTCTTTCTTATTTTTAAGTGAATTTGCAGTGTGTGCTTTCATCAAGACGTTATGATGAGTAATTTCAAAGCAGCTTCACAATTGAAGTTAGCCTTAATGTACCCTTTTGATCAGTGTCCTGCCTACCTGAAAGTACTACATGTACCAGTAGGTACATAATTTTTAATTGATTTAGGTTTAACTTTTAAAAACACGTGTAAATTGCTTTTTAAAAACTTTCTGATTTTAGATAATTATAGATTCATATGCAGTTGCAAGAAATAATAGAGACACCCTTTATACCCTTAACCCAGTCCTCTACCCAAACCCTCCCATTTGGTAACATCTTGAATGACTAGACCCTATCACAACCGGAAAAATGACACTGATAGTTCTACACTCAGTTGTGTGTGTGTGTGGTTGTTTTTTGAAAGTTTAATACATTTAAAGGATGATTAAAGTATTTGAACTCATGAAATTCTTTAATATTTGAGGTTTTAAAAAAAAGGAAAAGGATCTTTCTGTTATTTTTTTCCTCAATGATTTCCTTCGGTCACATAGCATTTATACACACACACACACACACACACACTTCAGTTTGAAGGTGGGAACAAAAACATTTCTGCAAACTACTTAATACATACTTATGTTGCTGAGCCGGATTGCTTTTTGATGCTACCAGTCCACAAAATGTTGTGAGGTAAGTCAATTTCAACTAAGTCTGTAATTCATCTCAAGTACTTAGATTTCCCCAGGAAACTGTGGACAGTCACCTGAATATTTTTAGCTTCCTCTTTACCTTTACCCCCTGGGTAAATATCATTACTCTTCAGGGCTGCAAAGAAAAGAAATGACAGCAGGAAACAGTGATTGTAAGGGCATACTACTTTGGCGCAGTTAATCATTTGAACTGATTTGTAGCAAAAAACTATAGCTAGACTTAATTTTCTTCTACCAGATTGGCACTAGTTTTTTTGTTTGTTTGTTTTTTGTTTTTGTTTTTTTGAGACGGAGTTGCGCCCTGTCACCCAGGCTGGAGTGCGATGGTGTGATCTCGGCTCACTGCAACCTCCGCCTCCCAGGTTCAAGCGATTCTCCTGCCTCAGCCTCCTGAGTAGCTGGGATTACAGGTGTGCGACACCGCGCCCGGCTAATTTTTTGTATCTTTAGTAGAGACGGGGTTTCACCATGTTGGCCAGGCTGGTCTCAAACTCCTGACCTTGGGATCCACCCGCCTTGGCCTCCCAAAGTGCTGGGACTACAGGCTTGAGCCACCGCACCCGGCGAGCACTAGTTCTTTATACCTGAGCTTTAAATGTACAGATTAACTGTGTTTGCTTTAGCTCTAGTAGGCCTTGTTTTCATTGGCTTCTTTTTTCCTCGTTTTACTCTGTTTTATGCTGGGCACAGCTTTATTAATAGTACATCACTTTGCTGGGGATTGGCTACCTAAATATTTCAAGGGTGCTTCTCTTAAGTGGTATGAATTGAAAAGGTACTTACAGAGTCCATTATCTACCAGGACTGTCACCTTTGACATTACTGGTTCTATTTTTGATGATGTGTATCTCCATCCTAGCATTACTGAAAGGAATTACTCAGGCTGATTTGTTCTGTTGAACAGTCTGCTACCGATGGATGCTTCCTCAGGTGTCTGGAACACTGTGGCCTGTGGTTCCCCCACAAAAAAAATTTTAGCTTTTTTTTTTTTTTTTTTTTTTGAGATGGAGTTTTGCTCTTGTCACCCAGGCTGGAGTGCAGTGGCACGAGCTCAGCTCACTGCAGCCTCTGCCTCCCAGGTTCAAGCAATTCTTCTGCCTCAGCCTCCCAAGTAGCTGGGATTGCAGGCACCTACCACCATGCCCAGCTAATTTTTGTATTTTTTAGTAAAGAGGGGGTTTCACTATGTTGGGCAGGCTGGTCTCGAACTCCTGACCTGAGGTGATCCGCCCACCTCGGCCTCCCAAAGTGCTATGATTACAGGCATGAGCAGCCGTGCCCAGCCTTAACCATTTTTTGAATACCCTTTATTTATAGTTGGGGAATTTACAGTTAGAGAAAAGACTGATTAGGGATAAGTGGCATAGTTGATTTTGCTGTTTCCAATGTATTATGTTATTAATTAAGAACCCCAAAACTACTTTTGCTTCTTTGTTGTAAACCGTTCGTTATGGAAGTTTCTGGAACAACCAGGTCCTAGTTAGAGTGATGAAATCTTAAGACAAGCAACACTTAAGGGTATTTTGGTTTAACTTCACACACTCGAAGTAAGAGGAATATATTCTCAAGAGCTTACACTACCAAAACATTGGGGAGAAATGCTTCCTCATCAGAATATCTTGGTATACATGCTAAATACAAAGGTTATGGAATATAATCTTCATCACATAATCTAAAAATTGTTAATAGACATGGTAAGGTACTGGTATTTGCTTTTCATAATAGATGTGTTCTTTAGAATTGGGGTATAAATCGTTTTTATTTTTTTTTAATTTTTGGAAATGTTTCTGAGTCATAAAATCTTTTTCAAAATGAATCTCTAAAGTCCACTAAGAGTGTTTTAAATATAAATAAATCCTATGATGAAGAGTTTTGGATATTACTTGAAAAATCGATTTTCAGTCATCAAAAATAATTTTGAAGTTATATGTATTTTGCTTTCTTCTCAGGGGTCACAAACTGGTGGCCAAATGGCAGAAAACACCTGCAGGTGTGTTTTCTTTGGCCAACACAGTATTTTCCAAAACTTGACTTTGTGAGTGTCTTTAGGCAGAACATATACCCCCTCTAGTTCAACCATATCACTCCTTATTGCCATACACCAGTCACTTAACACGTTTATGTAATTTTGGTGGTCTCCCTGTATAGATGGATTAATTGATACTTTCCTTACGATGTCTTAGCCTCCTCGGGAAGATGAACAAAATTAGTATACATTATGTACAACAATGGTGAGGCTTAAATTTTCAGTTATTTTAAAGCCTAGCCTTCTAAATATTCAGAGGGTAAGCTGTAGTCTCAAGACTGCATAATACTAATTCTGGGATTTTAAATTCCCTTAACATTTGTTTTAGAGCTTAGAAATTACATTGAAGGTTATACTAAACAGGTTCTGATTAGTGTGACTAAAAGTGTGAAGTTTTTACCCTCTTTTTAATGTGTACCTTGAATAAGATTTGGGTTGTCTTAATTTATATTCAAGTAGACATAAATAGGTTGCTTCACTTCTCAAGATATTAAGTGAACTGTTTTAAAAGACTTGCGATTAACTTCTTTGGTAGCTAGGTAATCACTTAGTTGAACTTCTGGGCAAGTGTATGCAGAAAGCTCAAGTCAAGGAACTTGTGAGCCACCAATATAGGTACTCAACTTGCTTTGAACTGTGAGTGTTTGATGTAGACCTAAAAGTACTGTTTAATATCTGAATGCCTTAATTGTATATTTCTTACTGATAGTTCTGATTTTTGGGTTTTGCCTCCTTCAGCTGAGTCTAGAGATGTGAAACTTTAGAATTATTATAGCAAAAATAGTTGCTCATGGTTTTGGAGCACTTAACTTTGTGGAACTATGCATATTCCTCTCATTTAAACCTCACAACAATGCTATATGGTGGGTACTATGATTAATCTCATTTTACAAATGAGGAACTTAAGGTTTAGTCAAGGAGAACACCTTCCCCAAAGTCTCACAGCTAGTAAGTACCAAAGCAAGGACTTGGGCCCAGACCTGTCTGACTGCAGAGCTCATGCTCTTAGCAGTGTGTTTTACTGTTTTTGCTTATGGCTTCCCTATGTCTTGCTTTACTACCTTTAGATACCATATTTAGTGATGGTTTTGAAGTAGCTGGGATCTCCATGTGCTATTACATCTGCCCAGTTTTAGAGCAGTGTCTCTTACCCATAATTTAGTCAGATTGCAACATTGATCCAAATGTGTTTACACTTGAGATCATAATACATAAGGAAACTCAAAGTTTTGAACTCTAACACATTCCCACTTTTTCTTGCATATTATAGTGTCAATAAATACTGAAAAGGAAGAACTGTGCTTTCTTCCTCAGAAAGAGGAAGATTTATGACCAGGTGGTGATAAAGGTGAAGTATGTTCTGATGGACATACTTCCATACTTCTAATGGGCATATGTTTGTCCATTCCATAAGATTTTACTTTCTTAGTTATAATACATAGTATCTTCAGGTCTGGCTTTGAAAAGAAAATAGGGAGTAACAATAATTTGAGGAATATAATGTCTCTGTATGTTGCATTTTATATTATTTTGAAGCTTTGAGACACTTGTTCATAGTAAGGGCAGCTTTGTTAGCAAATTGTTTCCAATGAGCTTGCTAAAAACAAACTTTTTGATACTGTTTTGTCACAGATCTAGTCCTAGAATGATTATAGTCTTCTCTCTTTCTTAAGCAGTGATAAACCTTTTAATGAGAACAAAAAGGAAATAAATTGCTAACTCTGAAGGAACCAGTAAGAAATACACTGAAGTATGGTCTGTTGTTTTAGAATAATTTGTTAAATGGACCAGAGTAATATAGTGGAACATGCATCACCTTATACCATATAGTAACTGATTCTTCTAAGTTTACTTGAACAGATTTCAGTCAGGAAAAAACATTGCTCAATTGTGTTCTTCAATTTATTCAACAAACAATTGAAAATAATATTTTAAAGGACATAATCTCTTCATATCACATCTTAACAATTCTTGAATGAGATCCAGTTTGTCCATGCCTTGTAAGTAAGTTTATAACCTACTATGCTTTAGGGCCTCCTGCTACCTTAGGTTGACATATATTTAAGAAAAATAATTTCATTTCAATAGTAGCATAAACATTAGAAAAATAAATTTGCTGGAAACATGAATGCAATCTAAACCAAATGTGATTTTAAAATTATTTCTGCCATTAATTCCCTCCATATGTGTGAATAATTGAGTTGATTTTATAGTGAAGTACCTTATGAGCCATACTTAAGGGTTTCTGAGAGGGACTATGAAGTTTTTCCTGGCTTAAATTCAATTAAGTTTTCATTATAGGGTCACTATGACATGAAAAGGAACCAGTATGAACACTTTTATACTTATTCCCTTCTATTTTAAAAATAACTTGATTATGGATTTGTATTCTGGCATTGGTTTTTGAACCATTGTGCTTTCATTCTTTCTAGTCTGTCTAAAAATCACTGGAGCGTTTAAGATGGCAGCTGACTAACATAGGCCTTTGAGGTCTTTTGGTCTTCTAAAGGAAGAAGGCCAAATTTTGGGCCCAGTTTCTTAAGGATGTTTTCAAAATGTACAGTGGCTAAAATCTTGTAAGCAGTAATTTTGTGTTTATGATGGCTGTCTCCAAGTTTGGGGGAAAATAATGGCAAAACAAAAAATCACATTTGAGTAGTTCTTAGAGCAATTCCTAGAGATGTATTTCTTACCTGGCCTTTCCTCTCTACCCTGTATCTTTGCATTATTTAATACTTGGAAAAACCCACATAGCATTAAAAACAAAGTACTACTGAACAAAGTGATAAATACATTTTCTTAAATCTTTCTTTTCTAACCACAGGAACATTTAAACTTACAATAGAATTCACTGAAGAATATCCAAATAAACCACCTACAGTTAGATTTGTCTCTAAGATGTTCCATCCAAATGGCAAGTATCACTTTTAGTACAGTGTTTTAAACTACTATAGTGTTTATTATGGAGTATTCCACATTTCCTGTGTATTTTGTGGTGCCTGAGTATTTGTTTAGGCAGCTTGCTGCTTCTTGAAAGCTGAACTTGTTCTTGGTTGTCTGTGGCTGTCTTGTCCTAGAACTGAAGCAGTGGAGGTATTTTCCCTTTGCTTGGAGTCTGGGAGCCTCCTGATTTTGATGACCTTTGTCATTTACTTATTAAACAAAATGAAGGATGCTCTTGAGGTTTCCTTTTAATGCTAGGCCAGATTGGGATAGTCTTGTGTTGTAATTATTTTCACTAGCGTTTAGAAAAGTAGTTTTCATTGGACGCATATCAGAATTACTGTGGAACATTTTAAAAACACAGATGCCTTCGCCCCACTCCAAACCTAATGAATAGGATTCTGTTGTTGAAGGCCAGGCATACGGTATTGTCAGAAAAGCACCACAGGTGATTCTAACTTAACCACTTTGCACTTTTTAAAATAGTAGTAAGCCTAGAACAGCTTGCCTTTTATTTAGGTTAATGAAGTATTTTTCAGGGTATCAGATATGTTTATCTTTATGCCAAAATGAAATCTTGTGAACTCTGAGTGATCTTTTGTTATTTCAGATAGGGGATACAGCCTACAAATTTGGTGGAATGAATTTCCCACATGTCTGTGGATAGCTAGGGACCCTGTTCAAAAATGTTTCTGATTTCCTGGATAATAGGGCAGCCTTTTCCAAAGGATGAACACTAAATATCTTCCAGTTTTATACTGATCACATCTGACATTCTCTGATCATCCTGATTATTTCACTAGTGGTGGTTATGACTTATCTTTTTAGGCAGTTAACTGGGAAGCAACATAGGAATCTTTAAACTTCAAAAGCAAAGTATTCTTGACTATTTTTGTTTTGTCTATAATGTTAAAACCTTAGTGGTCTTGTTACGTTTAATGTACCTACTTCTTTGTTCTTAGTCTATGCAGATGGTAGTATATGTCTGGACATACTTCAGAACCGTTGGAGTCCAACCTATGATGTGTCTTCCATTCTAACATCCATACAGGTGAATTTTTCCTTAATGTGACGAACTATAACTTTTAATATGTTTATATTAGCAATTGAATTGTTTTTGAAAGTCATAATGTAATAGATCTTTTTATTTTTGGTCAAAGCTTGTTTGTTTTATAGATGAAAAGTAGACCATTAAGACCCAAGTCAGCTGGGTACAGTCGCTCACACCTGTAACCTCAGCACTTTGGCAGGCCAAGGTGGGAGGATTGCTTGAGTTCAGGAGTTTGAGACCAGCCTGGGCAACATAGTGAGACTCTTCTCCCTTAAAAAAAAAAAAAGCCGCATATATTTTCCTAGCTACTAGCAGATTCACATAACTCTGGGTTTGTATGCTAAAGACAAGAAATGTAGCTGTACTTAGGACAATTCAATTGAGTGTCACTACCTTATAAAATAGTTGTTTTGCATTAAGGAACTGACATTTTAAAAATTGTCTCTTTAGTCTCTGTTGGATGAACCCAATCCCAATAGTCCAGCAAACAGCCAGGCTGCTCAGCTGTACCAGGAGAACAAACGGGAATATGAAAAGCGTGTTTCTGCAATAGTAGAACAAAGCTGGCGTGATTGTTGACCCCGGGTACAGTTTAAAGAAGCTGGCCATAAGAAAAATATATATTGATGTGTTTGTCACCTCCCTACTCCTGTCATTACATTTACTTTATTAAAAGCAAAATAACTGTTGTGCTGTTTCCATCTTCCTTGCCAAGTTTTCCTACCCCTTCTACCCTCTCCTTAAACATCAGAAAACACCCTCTATGAAATCAAATGTACTGTACCTGGGTTACTTGCAAAAATTACTAATGCTTCAGTTTTTCTGTTGTATTTCATTTCCAGTTTTCAGGCAGTTATTTTTATTATTGTACTTTAAGCTTTTAAGATGAATTGTTATACAAGAGGTGCTTATGCTTAGCTTGATGACCAGGATGTTATTTTTAACAAAATGATTGCTGAAGTGTTTCATCCTGGCTGGTCCTTCACTTGTGTTGGATTTAGAAGTGAATGTGTTTGGAATATGGCCTACAGAGAATAGAAACAAATCCATGTAAACAATTTTGAAGGAGGCATGGGAGCTAAAAATCCTGTGATACTAAGATCTCAGTCATATGAATTACAACGTAGTATTTACTGGCAAGAAGGAGAAAGTTGAAGGACTCAGCTAAAGGAGTACAGCAATTGTAGTAACTGACACATCCTCTCTTTGCAAGCTGCTGACTGGGCACACTCATGCCAAGTTTCAGAATTATTGGTCTTCTGGGTTTTTGCTTTTTAAAAGAGGTGTGGGAGCAGAGGAATGGAAACAATCGTGAGTTTTTGAGCTAGGGAAAGTTGGAGCTCCTTTAATCTTTTTAAAGGATCAGTGCTGCCCTAAGTGAATAAACTCAATTGTCCATCTTTATTTTAGAGTTTTAATGAATTCAAGGAAGGGAGCATAGCATATCTGTGGCAAACTATTTTCCACTCAAATCCTGAGTTATTGCTGCATGCTTTAATTTCTTCCCTTTCAGCATCTGAGAACCTTAAAGCCAATGTCTGCGATCTTTTTTTGGATATTTATACTTTTAGATATATAGTACCTTTAAGTAGCAGTATGGGACAAGGCTTGTAAATGTTTTGTCTAATGTTCTATTGTCACCTTTTATGCATTTATCACTTCCAAATCTAACTTTGCACAAGTAACCCATGTAAAAAAAAATGTACATTTTTCAAAAGTTGTAAATAAAAATAACCTTAAAATTTCATAGTCAAGGTATCTTTTTTTTTTTTTTTTTAGCTCAGTATAAACTTTTTGTATTGGTTTCTTATTGGGATCTCATATGTACTCATTTCCCCCCTCAAACATTAAGGTAAAAGCAAAAATACTCATTCTGGGAGGGGAAAAGACAAGACAGATACTTCTGGAGAGAACTTTTTTTTTCTTTCCAGTCATAAGTGGTAATGCTTTTTAAATATATTAACAGAATATGTTGCCGGGCACAGTGGTTCACGCCTGTAATCCCAGCACTTTGGGAGGCCAGGGCGGGCAGATCACGAGGTCAGAAGATCAACCATCCTGGCTAACACAGTGAAACCCTGTCTCTGCTAAAAATACAAAAAGAAATTAGCCAGGCGTGGTGGCATGCCCCTGTAGTCCCAGCTGCTTGGGAGGCTGAGGTAGGAGAATCGCTTGAACCAAGGAGGCGGAGGTTGCAGTGAGCCAAGATCGCGCTACTGCACTCCAGCCTGGTGACAGAGTGAGACTTCTTCCTCTCAAAAAAAAAAAAAAAATTTAACAGAATGTAAAATTATTAAATAAAGTTACCTCAGTATACATTATAATCAATCAAGGGAATGAGGTTATGGGGGGCGTGCGGGGGGCAGGGATAAACCAACCTAGGTATTTATCAGCACCCTCAGAGACCAAGATCTAACTTGTTGATCCTGACATACCACCTCTTTAAAAGCCCTAGCTCAAAAACAAACAGTACCAAACTTTTTTTTTTTTTTTTTTTTTTTTTTTGAGACGGAGTCTAGCTCTGTCGCCCAGACTGGAGTGCAGTGGTGCAATTTTGGCTCACTGCCACCTCTGCCTCCTGGGTTCAAACGATTCTCCTGCCTCAGCCTCCTGGGTAGCTGGGATTACAGGCGCTCGCCACCATGCCCAGCTAATTTTTGTATTTTTAGTAGAGATGGGGTTTCACTGTGTTGGCTAGGCTGGTCTTAAACTCCTCCTGACCTCATGATCCACCTGCCTCGGCCTCCCAAAGTGCTGGGATTACAAGCCTGAGCCACCGTGCCCGGCCTAGATGGTATTTTAAATCCTATGCAAAGTTTGGGAGTACAGATATCCTCAATCACTTTGATTAAACAAAACTACTTTCTTCTGAGGAGCAACCCATCTCATTTGAAAGAGGCAAGGACAATGACTTTGTAAAAACTACCACCTCTTGGTACTTGTTTGGTTGGGTGGATGGGGCTAAATGAAGTTAAGTCCTTATGACACATGTATCTCACTCATCTTTTAAGACATGGTACTTGAAGCCTCAGTATGGAGTACAATCTGTACTAATTACCACATTACTTGGATTGTTTCACCTAGGAGCAATGTCCTTCAATTTGCTTAATAGTTTCCCTCAAGTCCATTTCTGCTTCAAAGTAGAACCACATTAAATTTTTCTATTTGGTGGATTAGTTTTACATTAACTTTTTCATCCTGCTATGTGGCTGAGTGCTTTAAATTGACACTGTTAATCATACCTGAAACAATGTAAGGCGAGACTCAGAATGGTCAGGTTTAATAACTTTTTTCTTCTGTACACCTGAGAAACACTATACCCAATCTCTTTCACAGGATAATCCATTTAAAACCTTACAACAGAGCCAACAAGCTGACCTCCCAAAACAACATATGCATGGTCAAAGGCACCACAAACCATTCATTTGAACATTTCATGCTAATTGCCTCTTTCTCCCTTTAAAATTTTTAACACCACAGGCTACATGTATTGATAACAAAGTTAATGAAAACAAATTTGCAATGTCCCTTTTTCAAATGGCAGTCAGGTTTGAACTTTTCAATTCTGCACGTGCTGATGTGGGGAAGGAGGTATGATGAAGAACCAAAGCTGCAATTAGAATCCTTTATTTAGGACCCATCTCCAGCTTCAGGGGTTACTCATAGCAAAGAGAATGCATTGTATACTACTAAAAAAGAATCCCAACAAAGTGCATGATATTGCCATTCATTTTGCAATCAAAGGGGAGGAAAAAAATCCAAAAAGTAGATCTGTGATACTAAAAGCTAGATATAAAATGGAAAGAACAGTTAGTTCCTCAGTATAAAAAACACTTAATCCAAATAAAATTTGAAATTGCTCATGTACCTGTACAGATTGTATAGGAAGGTTACTGGGTTAAGAATGACTACATTTCAAAGAAAGGGAAAATACAGTAACCAACTGAAAGGGGACAAAATGGAACAAAATGGAACAACAGCAAGCTTGTCAGCAGCTCATTCATGCCAACGCCATTCTCAACATTATTTTATCCTCAAGCAAGTTAAGTGATTTTGCTCTAATTCTGTATCAATATCACAGATCCTAAGAAGTTAGGCAATCTGGCCCCTCAAATCCAGTAACCAAATTTGTATCTACTTGGTGCAATTATTTGGGAGCCTTCCTAACTGTAACTACCTTAATATTCTGTTCTGTTGGACTCACCTAGACAAACCAGATTATATTTAACAATCCCCTACCTTTCCCTGCCTCAAAATCATTTGGGGGAAGAAAGAAATGTAAAGAGAGTAATCAGTGAAGTTTTCATATCCCTTAATCCCAAAGCCACTCTTACTCAGAGAATTGAAAACAGGTTTTTTTCTAACTCACAAATTCAACCATAGCTTCTGAAGGTTGGCATGAACCTTGTAAATTAAAAACAAAACAAAATTGTAGCCCGGGTGTAGTGGCTCATGCCTGTAATCCCAGCACTTTGGGAGGCTGAGAAGGGTGGACTGCGTAACTCCAGGAGCTTGAGACCAGAATCCCATCTCTACTAAAAATACAAAAAATTAGCCAGGCCAGGCGGTGCGCACCTGAAGTCCCAGCTACTCGGAAGGTGGAGGTTGCAGTGAGCCAAGACTGCGCCACTGCACTCCAGACTGGGTAACCGGAGTGGGACCCTGTCTCAAAAAACAAATTGTAATCCTACAAAATCTATAAACATTTTGCTTAGTTTTTTTTGCCAATGTTAATATGAAGTGGCAAAATAAAATGTACACCTCATTTCTCTTCCTACCGACATTAAGAAAGGCTATGCACTGTAGGAAGACGGTTAATGGAAAACAATTATCACACTGTTTAGTTACCGTAGATGAGTACCAGTTACAGAAATCCAGGTGTAAAGGCTAATCCCTTTATATTTTTTAAGCATTAATTTAACTACAGTGGGCAGCTGCTTAATGTAAAATATAAAAAACAGGGCCAGGCACGGTGGCTCAAGCCTGTAATCCCAGCACTTTGGGAGGCCAAGGTAGGGAGATCACCTGAGGTCAGAACTTCAAGACCAGCCTGGCCAACATGGTGAAATCCCGTCTCTACTAAAATACAAAAATCAGCCGGGCGTGGTGGCGGGTGCCTGTAATCCCAGCTACTTGGGAGGATGACACAGGAGAATCGTTTGAACCCAGGAGGTGAAGGTTGCAGTGAGTCGAGACTGCACCATTGCACTCCAGCCTGGGCAAGAAGAGCGAAACTGCATCTCAAAAACAAACAAACAAAAAACGGGAAAGGAAATTACGATTTCTTGTTGGCCAATTACATGTCAAGCACGGTGCTAAATGTTGTCAAGCACTGTAAACCACCTAATTGTCCTGAACATCATTTCATTAGAGGTGTCTAGTGAGCAATGGTAAATTCACCTGTGCTGTTATGAGGTTATACTTGATTTATCTGAGATACAAAAATAAAATCACATAAAAGGGGGCAGCCAAAGATTTGGTTGAAGCCAGCATGTTGGTCCATAGGAAAAAAGTGATAGTTGACTGATTCCTATCTGTTAAATCCGGACATTCATCCACATGTGCTCTGGGTGCTGAACTATTCTGTGCAAACACCACTTCCCTTCTCCAAAGACCCAGTGTTGCTACAAGGCTGCTGCCCGGAAATGAGCACGCCACCATTCTGATCAACTTTGGCTCCTTTTTATTCAGGAAGCATACACTAATTCTTTTTATACATTTTTTTTTTTTACATTCCAGAAATAAGCGAAAATAGCAGTTTTAAATATGTTACAAAGTTGGCTTTTCAGGCTTAATAAGCTTTTTGAGAGAGGGACCAGCCAACTGACCTTTTCATCAAAGCACCAATGTATCTTCAGTCTTTTACCAAGCTCTACCACAGCTGTGGTTGCCTTGGATGTGCTGCACATCCAAACCGTGTGAAAGCTATAATGGAGAGTTGCTGTGAGTCTCTCTGCAAGGCACCAAGAACAAACAGTTCAAGCTTCCTTTCTTCAGATTGAACCAAAGTTTTTGAAACTTTCAACTGCTCTCTCAAGTAGTGCTCTCTCAGCGTGAAGACTAGAATTTGTTAAAACCCATATATCACAAGATACAGTAAATCACTTCCAATAGTCTGGAAATCACATGGTAGAAGTTATAAATAAATGAACACTAAAATTACTTTAAGAAAGTTTTACATCATTTAGTTGGTAAGGACATTTACGTGTACAGCACAATTTATTGTCAAACATTCTATAACTGGCTTCACACAAAGATGAAAATAGATTAATACAAAATGATCTGACATTTTCAGTAAATCTGGAATTAAGACTGGATTTTTATTGTAGTCAATATCAACTTTACATATTGTTGCAGATTGCTGTGCTATGCCCTTTAAAATGATAATTTCTCAGGGTAAAATTCCATTTGGATATGTGTTCTTGCTTGTCAAACTACTAAAATCTGAGGGACACAGCAATATCAAAGACACAAACAGTAACTGCACAATATCATCTGCTGGATTAAGCTAATACAAGTGGACAGAATTCTTTAGGTTCCAATATCTAATAAACCACTATGTGAAATGAACAAGGTGAGACATCTTATGAATATACTCTGCAACCGGAACATGTAGCATTTCTTTAATTCAAAAATCTGCCTCATTAGGCATTTACAAAATAAATTAGTAAGATCTCAATTTGCTTGAGGCATAACAAGCTCGTAATGGCCCACTTGGCCTTCCTGTTTGAGCTGATCTAGTAGGTCTTCCTTCCGTCTTTTTCTACCTACCACTAGGTACCTATCATGGCCCACCCCATGAGACTTACTCTTAAGACCATACTTCTGGGCAATCTGATGTATTTGCTTCCGTTCATCATTAGTCAGCTCTCTAGAGAAAGTCAAATCTGTGTGGCTCTCGGAGCGGGCGTAGTTTCTGATGATCTGTTCAATATCTCTCTTGGCAATTTTATTCACCCTCTCTACATCCAGACCAAGCCCTTCCCGCTTATGCTGCTCTTTCACTGAGATAGGCTCCCGTATGCCCTCACCAGATTTACCTAAACCACCACCAGTCCAACCCATCTTTCTCAGCAGCTGATTTCCAATATTATCTTCTTTGATTTGCTGTTTGTAAGCCTCCTCTGCTGAGCGGCCCTGAATTTCATTTCTTGAAATCACATCTTCAACAGCTCCTTTCTTCAAGTTGTTAATGACAGTTGGCTGGGTCTTTTTGAGGGTTTTCACAGCTTCCCCAGCAGCTTCATATTTGACAGTTTTCTTCACCCCAACTGCTTCTGCAATTACTTCACTCTCTAGAATCACTTTGCATTTCCAGCGGAGGCCTGTCATCCTTTCATAGACATACTCAACTGTCATTCGGTTAAACTGAGCTGTGTCGTTCAGCGTGCACACGGGATTTGAAGAATTCTCATAAACTACAAGATCCTTTATATCTTTCTTCTTTCCAGATCCTCTGGGTGAAGAGCCTGTATGGCATTGTGAACTTTTGACAGATGGATAAGTGGGCTGTGTTTTTTGAAGAATTTTCAAAGCCTCGTCGGCAGCTGCATGTTTACTTGTTTTCTTGGTTCCATAACCTTCAGCTAAGCAGTGATCTTGTAAAAACACTCGACAACGCCATGTGCGATTTGGCATCATCTCATATTTGTATTCAATTGACATCTTGTTGAATGAGGCAGAATTGTTAAGGATACCAATTGCATCATTTGCATTTTCTGTAATGACAAAATTGGTCCAGTGTTTGGCAGAAGCATTAAAAATTGGCTGCCCGGAAGCATCTTTACCCAGCACCACCAGGTCTTCTGGTGGCTTCAGAGCTGGAGGAAATTCATAGGAGGACATGCCAATCTGACACACCACGAGGTCCTCTCCAAATGTATGCTTGAATTTCCGCCGGACAACTCTAACTTCAATACGTTTCTGCAAGAGTTTTACAGCTAGCTCTGTAGCTCGATCCCTGGACCCATTCTTGCTGCCAGCATAACCTGTAGTTAAGTAGATATTTTGGCATCTAACTTCACAAGCATAGCCATCAGTTAGAAGTTTTTTATTTTTGGGGATGTCGGCAGGAGGAATTTCCTTTAAAGGAGCATATATATACTCAGGATTTGTCTTACACGCCTGAATACAACGAGTTAACATATATGTATAATTAATTTTATCAGATCCAGAAGTCATTTCTGGATTAGAAAGGTTCTTCCAGATTGTCGCCGTTAATTTTTCAATAAAATACTGCTTCTCGGCTACCACAGACTCGGGAAATGTCTGTGATGGTGAAGGCTCAGGAGTTGACTGAGAGTTTGCCTGCTGTGATGTGGTGCTTGGGGCAGGGTTCCCACTGTCAAAATACATGTTGGCTGTTACAGGCTGGTCTTTTGTGAGAATGAATCCTGATGAATCACAATACTGAGAATTCCCATCTTGTATACTGAAAGAGTCTTGAGTATAATCTTGGTAGATGTCTCTTGGCATGCTGGCAAAATGTGTTTGTTCATTTACCTCTTTTGTTTGAGGGCCATAAGGATCTTCCTGTCTTTCATCTTTTGAACTACTAGCTACAAAATGTACAGGCTCAAAACGAGGTCTCGCATGGAATTTGGAACCGGCTTGCTTTTTAGGAGGATTTTGACCTATAGAATGAGTGAAATTTACAATTCATTAAAATGGGAATATTTCAAAAGAACCAAGCAGGAAAATAGTACCAACCATATTATTTGCAAGCTGCATTGTTGGTACGAGATACTTCCATCACAAAAACTTCACGCCATTTGGGTGAAGAGACTCAATTATCAATGTAAGATTCCAGCATAAGGAGGGATGCTCCCTGTCTTTCCACATGTAAGGGAAGACCCTTGATAGAAAATATACCATTAAGTCAAGTATACAGGTCACCACCACACATGACTGGTAGCTGCTTTTGCATCAAATGAGCTAAAGCACAGGTGAAGTATACTCTTCACTTGTGCTGGAAGGTGAAGTGGACTGGAAGATTGTTCCAGTACAATCTCATACCACCCATGCTGAAAAGCTCACTTAAGGATTGAAAATGGAACAGATGGCTCTAATGCAAGACAGATAATGAGCAGAGGCAGTTACAAAGCCTTTCTCTTTTGTATCAGAGGTGAGTGACTCTGTGATGGTGCTTTACATAGTTGTGACTAAAAATCAAAGAAAAAGAATTATCAAAAGATTCAGAAAGTTTTCAACTTCAAAACCTCAGCTCTGACCCATTCATCACAAAAGGGTGTTTGCTCTATTTTCTTTCTAGAACAAACAACAGCTGGAAACTAATGATTTATGTGAGATGCCAAATTTAAAGCTATGGAAGAACTCTGATGAAGCTATACTAGACACTAGAGCTTCCTCCCTGTAACACTGCTCAGTAGAAAGCTCGTCCATCCTGGACCCATCCAAGAGGATTTAGTGACTTAGATGCTCAAGTGATCACAGTATAAGATTTTATTTAGAGGGCGGTTCCATGACATAAATTTCAAGGACTGCATAATAACATGATTTCAATATTCTTAGTTTTCAATTCTATTTAGCATCCTCAAAAAATTGTATATAATTAAAAGCTAAAACTCTTTTACCCGTAAGAACTAATGTTACCAATGTTATTTGAAATCTTATACCACACTCATATCATTTTTTTAAAGCCATGTTGTTTCTTCAAATCCCACCTTTCAGAAACAAGTATACTCACCATCACATGTTGAGAGGTGGCGTTTTTGACCTTTGGAAGGTTTGGACAGCACCAGATCATATGAAGGCATCTCCCCAATATCAATACCTTCAGCCATTTGGAGAATTTTTTCCATCAAGCGTGGGCTGTACCTATTTAAGTTAATATAATCTACAGTTAAAACAGGTAAGGATGTCTTTTTTAAAAAGCTTCAAAATAAGCCAGTCTTATAATTGCTCCCACAAGACTTTATCAACAGGGTATCTTGGCTATAAAACCAAAGAATCGGCCCTAAAATATTTACCCATCAAATGAATAATTATGTTACTAATTAGGAAACAAGATTTTTCAGCATAAGACATACAAATATAAACTCAAAAAAATTTAGCAAAAACCTCATCTTTAATTTGAATTGAAAATATCAGTATAAATTCATGACTTGTTTTGATTGTGGTCTCTATCATTTCTCATGAAATGGAATCAGGGTCCTTAGAGAAATGGCTGATTCTAAGTCTGTGGCAGGAAATGTCTAAGGTGAGCCTGAGAAATCATCTAGCACCTAAAACCAAGGAAACTGTCAAAGATCAAAGGTGTTGTGTCAAATGGACTCAGAAGCCAATTTGAATAGACTCTTACTGGCAAAGTGAGCCAACTCAAATATCGATAAGAACAATGATGGCAATGGATTGAAATATATCAAATATGTTGAAAATTCATTAGTTCATAATGATACTTACAAACTATTATTGGTCACCTTTGGAGGATGGAAGGAACCATGTCATTATTCTGCAAACAGGTAAATATGAAAGGAAGAAAGCAAACATTTATCCTGTATTCTCCTGTATAAATTGTACTTAGAGCAACCAAAGAGATGATGAGGAAAATGTCTTTTAGAGAAGCATTCCAGCTAATAAATGAAGGAATGGACTACTACCATTTTGTAACCTATAATAAAAAATGATCATCAGGCGGGCATGGTGGCTCACACCTGTAATCTCAGCACTTTGGAAGGCCTAAGCGGGTGGATCACTTGAGGTCAGGAGTTCGAGAACAGCCTGGCCAACATGGTGAAACTCCATCTCTACTAAAAATACAAAAATTACCCGGGCATGGTGGTGGACACCTGTAATACCAGCTACTCAGGAGGCGGAGGCAGGAAAACTGCTTGAACCTGGGAGGCAGAGGCTGCAGCGAGCCGAGATCACGCCACTGCACTCCAGCCTGGGCGACAGAGCTAGACTCCATCTCAAAAAAAAAAAAAAAAGAAAAAAGAAAAGAAATTATCAATGGCTGCTAAACCTATTAGGTGAAAAGCTAATGGGGGAAGAACTCACAGTCAGACCCAAGCAAATATTCTCAACTGATTATTGACAAAGGTGCCAAGGCAATTCAATGGAGGAAGGATAGCCTTCTCAACAAATGGCGCCGGAACTAGTAGGCATCCATAGGCAAAAACAAAAACAAAAACAAAAAAAAAACAACTCTACACCTAAACTTCACACCTTATACAAAACTAACTCAAAATACATCATAAACCTAAATGTAAAATTATGAAACTTTTACTGAAAAAAAAAACACAGGAGAAAATCTGTGGGATCTAGGGTTAGGCAAACAGTTCTTAGGCTTGATACCAAGCATGATCCATAAAGAAACTGGTGATAAAATGGACGTCATTGAAATTAAAAAGTTTTGGCTGGGTGTGGTGGCTCACTCCTGTAATCCCAGCACTTTGGGAAGCCGAGGTGGGCGGATCACTTGAGGTCAGGAATTCAAGACCAGTCTGGCCAACATGGCAAACCCCCATCTCTACAAAAATAGAAAAAAAAAAATTGCTGGACATGGTGGTACACACCTGTAGTCCAAGCTACTTGTAAGACTGAGGCAGGAGAATCACTCAAACCCGGGAGGTGGAGGTTGCAGTGAGCCGAGATTGTGCCACTACACTCCAGTCTAGGTCTGGGTGACAGAGCGAGACTCCGTCTCAAAAAAAAAAAAAGAGTAAAAAGTTTTGCTCTTGAAAGACTGTGAAGAGGATGAAAGGTCAAGCTGCAGACTGGGAGAAAATATCTGTAAACCACACGCTTGACAGAAGACTAGTAGTACCTAAAACTCAATAGAAAAAAAAATCAAATTAAAAAATGAACAAAAGACATAAACGAAATACTTCACCAAAGAGGATAGACAGATTGCAAATAAGCACATGAAAAGATGTTCATCACTAGCCACCAGGGAAATGCAATTTAAAATCACAATGAGGTATCACTATACACTTATTAGAATGGCCAAAATAAGTGACAATGGCTGGGCACAGTAGCTCACGCCTGTAATCCCCGCACTTTGGGAGGCCGAGGGGGGTAGATCACGAGGTCAGGAGTTCGAGATCAGCCTGACCAACATGGTGAAACCCTGTCTCTACTAAAAATACAAAGATTAGCCTGGCATGGTGGCATGCGCCTGTAATCCCAGCTTCTCAGGAGGCTGAGGCAGGAGAATCGCTTGAACCTGGGAGGCAGAGGTTGCAGTGAGCCGAGATTGTGCCACTGCACTTCAGCCTGAGTGACAGAGCAAGACTCCATCTCAAAAAAAAAAAAAAAAAAAAAAAAAAAAAAGTGACAATACCAAATGCTGGCAAAAATGAGGAGAAACTGGATCACTCAGACATTGCTGCTGGGAATGTAAAATGATACAGTCACTCTGGAAAACAGTTTGGTAGTTTCTTATAAAACCAAACATCAGGCCGGGTGCGGTGGCTCACGCTTGTAATACCAGCACTTTGGGAGGCCAAGGTGGGCGGATCACCTGAGGTCGGGAGTTCGAGACCAGCCTGACCAACATGGAGAAACCTCGTCTCTACTAAAAAGACAAAATTAGCCGGGCGTGGTGGTGCATGCCTGTAATCCCAGCTACTCTGGAGGCTGAGGCAGGAGAATCGCTTGAACCCAGGAGGTGGACGTTGCAGTGAGCCAAGATCGCACGATTGCACTCCAGCCTGGGCAACAAGAATGAAACACTGCCTCCAAAAAAAAAAAAAAAAAATCAGTTACCACTTGATCCAGCGATTGCAATTATACTCTTGGACATTTATTCCAGAGAAATGAGAACTTATGTTCACACAAAAACCTGTACACGAATGTTCATAGCAGCTTTATTTGTAACAGCCCAAAACTACAATCAGCCCAGATGTCCTTCAACAGGTGAATAGTTAGATTCTGGTACACACACACTATGGAACACTACTTGGGACAAAAAGGAACTTTTTTTTTTTTTTTAAACAGTCTCACTCTGTCACCCATGCTGGAATGCAATGGCGCGATCTCGGCTCACCGCAACCTCCGCCTCCTGGATTCAAGTGATTCTCCTGCCTCAGTCTCCCAAGTAGCTGGGACTATAAGCATGCACCACCATGCGGGGCTAATTTTTGTATTTTTAGTAAGACAAGGTCATCATGTTGACCAGGCTGGTGTCAAATTCCTGACCTCTCCGCAGGCCTCAGCCTTCCAAAGTGCTGGGATTACAGGCATGAGCCACCGCACCCGGCCATCTCTTTGTATTATTTCTTACAGTTGCATGTCAATCTATAATTATCTCAAGAAAAATTTCAGTTTAAAAAGCTGATCGGGGACTTTATCATCTTAATATCACTAAAAGTGGGACAACCGAACATGTACCCCACGATGTGATACAATAGGATATCACGGCACTATCTAGAAAGCGTTATGGCTCTCCAGAGAATTGAACCTGAAACTAATCAAGTTCCTGACTCCCAGAAACATGTGAAACACCACAAGAATGGAACTATCCAACTCCAGAATGAGGGAACAGTATGTGACAGCCCAGTTTCCTCATCAAATAAATACTGTAGAATGAAAATAAAAGGAAGAGGGAGTGGTTATAGGTTAAAGGAGATGGATCAATCAAATACATTGTATAGACTTTGTATCATGAATGAATCAAACGAGCTGTAAAAAGACATTTGAGACAAATGAAGAAAACTGAACATGCAATAGGCATTGGGTGATTTTTAAGAAATCACTGTAAATTTTGTTGAATATGAATAATGGTATGGTGACTATTTTTAAAAATTCTTATCTGATACAGATGTGTACTGAAGAATGTACAGGTGAAATGATGTCAGGATTTTATAAAATATACTCCAGACTATTGCCCACAAAAACCTAGGGCAGAATAGATGAAGAAGGGTAGCATGGCAGACTGCTGATGATTGCTGAGTGATGGGTACATGGGATTCATTAAACTCTTTTCTACTTTTGTGTGCTTGAAATTTTAAGGCAAAGCTTTAAAATATACAATTTAAAAAATGGCTCCTGGCTGAGCACAGTGGTTCATGCCTGTAATCCCAGCACATTGAGAGGTGGAGGTGGGCAGATCACTTGAAGCCAGGAATTCAAGACCAGCCTGGGCAACATGGCGAAACACCATCATTACAAAAAATAAAAATAACAAACAAACAGAAAACGTAGCCAGGCATGGTGACCCATGCCTGTAGTCCCAGCTACTTGGGAGGCTGAGGTGGGAGGATCACTTGAGCTGGGAAGGTCAAGGCTGCAGTGAGCTGTGATCACACCACTGCACTCCAGCCTGGGTGACAGAGTGAGACCCTGTCTCTTTTTTTTTTTTTTTTTTTTTTTTGAGAGGGAGTCTTGCTCTGTCTCCCAGGCTGGAGTGCAGTGGCACAATATCAGCTCACTGCAACCTCCACCTCCCGGGTTCAAGCACTTCTCCTGCCTCAGCCTCCCAAGTAGCTGGGATTACAGGCATGCGCCACCACGCCTGGCTAATTTTTGTATTTTTTAGTAGAGACAGGGTTTTGCCATGTTGGCCAGGCTGACCTTGAACTCCTGACCTCAGGTAATCCACCTGCCTCAGCCTCCCAAAGTGCTAGGATTACAGGTGTGAGCAACTGCACCCGGCTGAGACGGTCTCTTAAAAAAAAAAAAAAAAAAGGCTCCTTATGAAGATTGGCTGCTTGATAGAATAACATTTTACTACAGAGAAACAGAAACAGGAGCTCAAGTGAAGTGTTGGTTATGACGGTTACCTGCTCTCCCTTCCTACCTTCAGAGCCTTCCCCAGCCTAGGACCAAAAAAGAGATTCCTGGTAGCATTTGGGAAGAAGTTCTGAAAATGAGTAACTATCATACCTTTACATGAATCAGTTCTGAACCAGAAGGAGGGTAACATTTTCCATTTTCAGTAGAACAGGTTGCACACCCATCACGTATCATTCCACGCAAAGCAGAAGTCAAGGCACGGTGGCCTCCCCGACAGACTGCTGGAAGCTAGCTCTGTTGTAACCTGTACTTCCCACTGACAACTGTTGCTGCTAAAGCTAGCACGAGTATTTAAATACCAAGAGTAATTTTATTTTCATTGACTCTTATCTGAACATCAGAAAGCACAGTCTAAAACACAATATGGCTGGGCGGGGTGGCTCACACCTGTAATCCCAACATTTTGGGAGGCTGAGGTGGGCAGATCACCTGAGGTCAGGAGTTCAAGACCAGCTTACCCAACATGGTAAAACCCCGTCTCTACTAAAAATACAAAAATTAGCTGGGTGTGGTAGCAGGCGCCTGTAATCCCAGCTACTCAGGAGGCTGAGGCAGGAGAATTGCTTGAACCCGGGAGGCGGAGGTTGCAGTGAGCTGAGATTGCACCACTGCACTCCAGCCTGGACGACAAGAGCGAGACTCTGTCTCAAAAATAATAATAAAATAAAATAAAATAAACACAATACATTCTACATATCACTTCCATTCAAATTTGGGAGTACATATTTCCAAAGTATGAGATAAAAACAAAAGCCGGGCGCGTGTGGCTCACGCCTGTAATCCCAACACTTTGGGAGGCCAAGGCAGGCAGATCACCTGAGGTCGGGAATTCGAGACCAGCCTGACCAACATAGAGAAACCTGTCTCTACTAAAAATACAAAAATTAGCCGGGTGTGATGGCGCATGCCTGTAATCCCAGCTACTTGGGAGGCTGAGACAGGAGAATCGCTTGAACCTGGGAGGCAGAGGTTTTAGTGAGCCGAGATCGCACCATTGCCTTCCAGCCTGGGCAACAAGAGTGAAACTCCATCTCAAAAAAAAAAAAAAAAAAAAAAAAAGTCTATGAAAATGAGATGAGTCTATAAATCTTAAACTACTAATCCCACGCCTGTTACCAAAAGTGGCCCTACAACCAGGCAACTTACCTTGAATTCCAGTCAATATTCTCCAGACCTTCAGTTAGAGCCCGATTCCAAGTACAGTATACAACTGCAAATGGCATATATGTCTTACGGTGTGATGCACTTAGGGCTCACTCATTCATGCTCACTTTTCTCAGGTTTCTTCCAGCATTAGTAATTATTCTACCTACTTACTATACCCTATTCATTACATCTGCCACAAAATTCAACTTCACCCATAGGCCATAAAAATAAGTCTTTACATAGGTTGCTGATACAGTTCTCTGTCCTTTGCTATGAAGTCATAATACTGAAGAAGCCCAGCCAGTATGAACAATAATGAAAAAGACCGTATAGTACCTAACAAACACTTCACTATTCAAAGAACAATGTAAATACGAATCTAGAGTGTTTAGTAAGACCACGAGGCTTCTACAATCCAGAGTAGCTTTCCAAAGATAAAGAAGTGGTGCCACATATTTAAAGTAAGCCAAGGCAGTAAAGCTTTTATTATTCACTTTCTCCAGAGTCTATTTTTTAATAGTGTGTTTTAAAGTAACACCTTTAACACCAGGCATTTTAGAAAATCCACCAAGAAAAGCACCTACATTCCCAACCACTGGCCGGGAGCAGTGGCTCACACCTGTAATCCTAACACTCTGGGAGACCAAGGCAAGAGGATCACTTAAGCCCAGGAATTCAAGATCAGCCTGGGCAACATGGCAAGACCCTGTCTCTACAAAGAAAAAAAAAAAAAAAAAGCTGGGCATGGTGGCATACACCTGTAATCCCAGCTACTCAAATCACTTGAGCCTAGGAAGTTGAGGCTACAGTGAGCTGTGATCACACCACTGCACTCCAGCCTGGGTGACAGAGGAACCTGTCTCAAAAATAGTTATAATAACCCCAACCACTGATAACTTCATCAACATGTTGGGTTTTAATTAATTTTTTTTTTTGAGACTGAGTCTCACTCTATTGCCCAGGCTGGAGTGCAATGGCATGATCTCGGCTCACTGCAGCCTCTGCCTCCTCAGTTCAAGTGATTCTCCTGTCTCAGCCTCCCAAGTAGCTGGGATTACAGGAGTGCACCATCATGTCCGGCTAATTTTTGTATTTTTAGTAGAGACAGGGTTTCACCATGTTGGCCATGTTGGTCTTGAACTCCTGACCTCGTGATCTGCCTGCCTCAGCCCCCCAAAGTGCTGGAATTACAGGCGTGAGCCACCGTGTCTGGCCATGTAGGGGTTTATTTTTTAATGCTTTTTCTGTGTTTTCCATAACTCCCCATCACTATCAAGTCATCTATGTTGATTTCAAATCTGGTGGGGTTTTTTGTTTTTAATTTACTGTATCATAAGCCTTTTCTCCACATCATTACCACATGAGTTTTAATGGCTATACAGTATTTATATTATTGAATAAAATGTAAGATATCATTAAGGCAAGTCTAATATAGTAATTTTTTAAGATGCACGCATACTATATTTTTAAGTCTGCTAAGTTACCCTTTAGATTATAAATGCTTAAAAAAGAAAACCAGGCCAGGCGTGGTGGCTCATGCCTGTAATCCCAGCAATTGGGAGGCCGAGGCAGGCGGATCACTTGAGGCTAGGAGTTCAAGACCAGCCTGGACAACATGGTGAAACCCTGTCTCTATTAAAAATACAAAAATTAGCCAGTCATGGTGGCATGCACCTGTAGACCCAGCTACTCGGGAGACTGAGGCAGGAGAATCGCTTGAACCCGGGAGGCAGAGGTTGCAGTGAGCGGAGATCACAGGCTGCACTCCAGCCTTGGCGACAGAGCAAGACTGTCTCAAAAGAGAAAGAAAAAAAAAGAACCCCAAAATTCTGAGGTCTTATGGTTCTCAAAAGTAGCTGATATTATACCAAGCTTTTGGAAACCAGGATGTGACTCAACTATCCCACCATATCTAGCACATAAAAAGATGATTTCTAATGAACAAAAACATCTGTCTTCATAAGTTTTACATCTCTGGACACAAGACAGGTGCATATATATGCATACTTATGAATAACGTAAACCACTATAACATACAATGGCAGCTGAAATTTAATAAATATTCAGTAATAGATGCTTACAAAACTTTTTTTTTTTTTGAGATGGACTCTCACTCTGGCACCCAAGCTGAAGCGCAATGACGCGATCTCGGCTCACCGCAACCCCTGCTTCCCAGGTTCAAGCAATTCTCCCGCCTCAGCCTCCCGAGTAGCTGGGACTACAAGCACCCATCACCACGCCTGAGTTTTACCACGTTGGCCAGGCTGGTCTCAAACTCCTGACCTCACGTGATCTGCCCGCCTCGGGCTCCCAAAGTGCTGGGATTACAGGCATGGGCCACCGGCCACGGCCGTTTTACAAAACTTTAAAAAAGTATATTAAACTGTTCTACTAAGTTCAAATAAAAAAGCTGAGATTTGAAAATTAAGCAAAGATTAAGGTTTCCAAGTGTAAAATTGTTTATTCAAAACTATTCATAAGGAAAACTAATTAAAAAAAAAAAAAACTTTTCATAAGACGGGCCGGAGCCTGGCAAAATGGCTGATGCCTGTAATCCCAGCACTTCGGGAGGCCCAGGTGGACGGCTCACCTGAGGTCAGGACCAGCATGGCCAACGTGGTGAAACCCCGTCTCTACTGAAAATACAAACAAAATTAGCTGGGCGTGGTGGTGCACGCCTGTAATCCCAGCTACTCGGAAGGTGGAGGCAGGAGAATCACTTGCACTCAGGAGGTGGAGGCTGCACTGAGCTGAGATCGCACCATTGCACTTCAGCCTGGGTGACAGAGCAAGGTTCTCTCAAAAAAAAAAAAAAGAAGAAGAAGAAGAAGAAGAAAAAGCTGGGAGCAGTGGCTCATGCCTGTAATCTCAGCACTTTGGGAGGCCGAGGCGGGCGGATCATCTGAGGTCAGGAGTTCGAGACCAGCCTGACCAACATGGAGAAACCCTGCCTCCACTAAAAATACAAAATTAGTCGGGCATGGTGGTTGCACACCTGTAATCCCAGCTACTAGGGAGGTTGAGGCAGGAGAATCGCTTGAACCCGGGAGGCGGAGGTTGCGGTGAGCCAAGATCGCGCCATTGCACTCCAGCCTGGGAAACAAGAGCGAAACATTGTCACACAAAAAAAAAAAAAGAAAAAAGAAAAAGAAAAAAGGACTCGGGCCAGGCGCGGTGGCTCACCCTTGTAATCCCAGCACTTTGGGAGGCCAAGGCGAGTGGATCACTTGAGCTCAGGAGTTCAAGATCAGCCTGAGCCACAGAGGGAAACCCCATCTCTATTAAAACAACAACAACAACAATTGATAAGACTCCTGATATAAGTTAATAACATACACCCAGATTATTGATAATCTTTCAAAAGCTCTCACACCCATTTCATTAGCTAGTGATTTATGCACTCTCCCTACTATGTGCACAGTTTTGCAACATGAGCCCAGCCAACATCTATCTACCTTCCAAACACCAGTCTTGTATCAACCAGGAAAAGACAAATAAGGGAGCAAAGCTGGTTTCATTTTAAGGTATATTTTATCTATTAATTAATGTCTCATCAAAGGTAAATAGTAGGCCAGAATTCTCCTTCTAATCTTATTGATCAACAATGACTGGAAAACTAAATGCCCCAGTTAATCAAACTGCTTTATTAAATATAAAGACACTATCTACAATTTTAAGTAAAAATCACACAGTTCTCTAGGCATTCATATGTACAATTATTTAAGTGCTGTAGATGTAGTTGGTCAGAAAACTGAACTAATTTTTCACTAGCCACAAGACATATCTCAGAAATTGCCTGCAGAAAAAAATTCTTGGTTAAGTTGTTTACTTGGACGAAACAGACAAATGAAAAAATGAAGTGAAACAATTTTAGCCATTTGAGCTTTCTGGTTGCCTGGACAATTAGGGAGAAAATGATTAAAAAACAGAATAGAAACATTTTTATTTTATCCTACAAAGCAGTGGTTCTGAGAGTGCTGATCTCTGGATCAGCAACATCAGCATCACCTGGGAACTTATCAAAAATACAAAATCTGAGGCCCCACCTCAGACCTACCGAGTCAGACACCCTGGGGCTGGGACCCAGCAATCTGTTTTAACAAGCCTAACAGGTGATTTTGACGTGTACTTAAGTTTGAACTCCCCAGTTACAGAGTCAAGAAGATATTCAAATTTGTTCTGTGGAAATTGCCACCATCACCAAAAGGAATGAAATAAGGTCTGTTTCCCTGCACATTTGAGTTCCTCCTGGCTTGGTCTTATGATGAAGGAATTTTCAAAGATTTCTTTGACCTAGAAGTTTATTTCAGCTCCAAGTAAAATGGAATACAAAACATTTTGCCAGAGGGAAAAAAGAGCAAGGAAATTCCTTTGTGCTATTCTTCACAGCCTGTTCCAAAAGTCAAGTGATAAACCTCGAGCAACAAATCAACAATTTAAGGCCAGGTGCAGTGACTCACTCCTGTAATCCTAGCACTTTGGGAAGCTGAGGCTGGCGGATCACTTGAGCCCCGGGGTACGAGACCAGCCTGGCCAAAATGGCGAAACCCCGTCTCTACCAAAAATACAAAAATGAGCCGGGTGTGGTGGTGCATGCCTGCAATCCCAGCTACTCGGGAGGCTGAGACATGAGAATTGCTTGAACCCAGGAGGTGGAGGTTGCAGTGAGCCAAAATCGTGCCACCGCACTCCTGCCTGGGTGACAGAGCAGACTCTGTCTCAAAAAAAAAAAAAAAAAAATTAACAATTTAAGTTTAGAAAGAGCTATTTCACCATGTATTCTACAATTCACTTGAGAGAAGAGTATTCTGCCACAGAAAACAAGAACTCTGCCAAAATCTACATTAACATCAACAAGTATTGGAACACAAGTTTTACCCACCTGAAGATGAGAGGTAACATAAAGCCCATCTAAAGACTGCACTTGGTCCCTAGCTTCCAAGAGTCTTCATTGGCCCTTCCCTTTCTTCTATATGGAAGCTATCAGATATAATGCAAACATTACTTTTCAGTTAAGCTATTTGATAATGTAATGGCAATTCTTGTATTAACTAAACTGACTTAGCTACAATGTAACATGGTGTACATACATAGTATGTACAATGTAGCATACATAGTATCCACAGATGCACCTGTGTGCACACACAACAGCCTGCAATTCTTGAGCCTTTAACACCAACTACCATTGGCCTACTTTGTGTTTTTAATGCCCTGGTTATGTACAAGGGTGTTGTTCTTGGAATTAAATCCTGAGATATAATGATGTGGCTTATGTTCAGTTACTTGCTTTCACTCATGATCCATCCTTCCCAAATATGGCAGCTGTGGCTCAGTGGAAAGAGCATCAGTCTGGGTATCAGAAGACCTAGGTCCTAGCCCCAGCTGTAAGACCTTGGAAACGTCACTTAACTTCTTGGCCTCCACTGATTTAGCAGTAAAAATGAGATGCCACCTAATCCCCAAAGTTGTTGTAGGAAATGAAATAATAAATATTTAAAATGTGTTGTACATCATAAAGCTGTATACATCCACTCACTCCACACACATTTATTGAGCAGCTATTATTTAGCAGGCAATCTTCTAGGCACTGAGGATAAAGGTGTAAACAAGAAAGCAAAATCCCTATCCTTAAGGGAGCTTCCATTCTAGTGGGAAGGTAAGATTTATTATTAACACAAAGGATAGTTATCCTCATTTAAGTTTTTGTTTTTATTTTAAGGATTCAGATTTCCGACAGCCTTCTGTGATATTATGGAGACTTACGATTATAGGATAAAGGTAACTTTTGAACTCAAGAACAACACTGTTAGGCAAAGGTCAAGTAGATTTATCTGACTTGTTCAATAACTAAGGCTTCTTCAGTTGTAACCAGTTCCTCCTAATCATTATCTCTGGAGGTAGAAATTATGCTAACCTTGAGAAGACAGAAAAGTAATGTCTGTGATGAGAGCAAAGTATATCACACTGAATGCCATGTTCAATAATTAAGGGCAGGAGGAGACAATCCTATTTTTCTGCATCTGTTACAGTCACTCCTGGAACTGAACTGGCCAAAATTGACATGATCATATTCCAGAATCTCTCACCCTTCCTGATTTAAAAAAAAACAAAAACAAAAACAAAAACAAAAAACTATGATTGCAGGAATGTCAAAAGAAGTCGTCTCCCAATCTATCAAAGAATGAATAGTCTAGTATAGGGCCGATTTAGGGGTTCTGAAGGACAGAGGTCCAAGTAGCCTCTTCAAAAAAAAAAAACAAACAAAACACGCTGCGTTGGAACCATACTGCAGTCTCCATTGAATGCAAAGAGCTTTCAAAGAGGCCTGTTCAAAACGTCACCAGGTTCTAGGAAAGGGGGGAAAAACAAACACACACACACCCCCACCCCCACCACAGACACACACACCTAAAACCTCACTCAGAGCCAAATGTTAATCCTTCTGATCCCATTTAGGGTAAAAAGAGGGCAATCCATTTTTACAGTAGATATATCCATTTCTTTGTTTGAGTCCAGACACATTATGCGCAAATCTACAAGCAAGGCTGACGCTGCTGCGGCTCAGAGAGCTGATACGTACCGCCTCCCCAGGAGAAGACAGTAAGACCCTGCTAGGGGGCTGCAAGTAGAGGGGGGTATTTAAGAGGAATGGAAAAAGAGAGTGGTCAGGAGGAGACTAGAACAGTGGGGTCCCCTCGCCCTTCCCCCACAACTCCAACTGTCGAATATATTCTCTGCGGATACTGCATCCTTGGAAGGCCCTACGCAGGTCCGAGATGCTGCTATTCATCATTCCCCACGTCCTCTAATACCGCCACCAACTACAATGACCACCTCTCAATAATCCTCTTCTAGGCGCTGCTTCATCTCCATCCCTGGTCCTGGAGAGGCCGCTTCCGCGATCTCTGCACCCTCCTAGCTGTTATGTCATGCCCAGCCACCACAGTCGGCCACCCCACCCCCAGGCCAATAGTGATCCCTCTAGTGCCCTCCAGCACCTCCAAATCTCCAGCCTCCAACCTATCCTCCGCATCCCGCCCCCGTCCCTATCCCAACCACCATCATCGATCCCTCCAGCGCCGTCCCTAACCCGATCCCCCATCACCGATCTCTCACCCCCGTCCCTAACCCGACACCCACACCTTCCTCACCTGCAGCCCAGGAAGACGTGGTTGGTCCAGGCGGCGGAGAGCGCGAGGAGCTGGTCGAGGGCAGCCCCGGGATAGCTGTGCAGGTGCCGACAGATGAAGCTGCGCCGCAGAGCCCACTGCCAGTCACTTTCGTGGCTATAGCGCCACTGCTCCAGCACTGGCTCGGGCGGGGGCGGCGGGAGGGGCGGCAGCGGCGGCGGCGGGAGGGGGGGCAGCGGCGGCGGCGACAGGAAGTCGCCCCCCAACAGCAGACGTCCTCCAGCCATCTTCTCCGCCCCCAAGCAGGGACCCCAGGGACGAAGCCGACTACGGACCGCGAGCTAGGCAGCTAGCAAGCGGGCGGAAACGGGGGGCCGGTGGGAGGGGCCGGGTAAGGAGGGGCGCGCTGAGGGGAGAAGATCAACTCTCGGGGGGACTGGAGTGTGTGCGTGGGGGCCACCGTTAGGAGGAAAAGAGGAGCACGAGCTCGCGTCCCGACACTGGGATGCACGTCCCCTACACTCCTCTAACTCGTGGAGGAGCAGAAGGGCTTCCGCCGCACTCACGCGCGAGCCGGGGAGGCCGAGTCAGGCTCCGCACCTCCACGGATCCGCAGACCCACGCACTGCGCGGAGAGCGATAAAAGACCCCAGCACGCTCTGCTCCCCTCCTCTAGGTTCTAGCCTACCTACCCGCGTGCCGTCCGGGGTTGTGAGGCCAGTGCGCTTGCGCCGCGGCTGTTCCCTAACTTCCAAATCCCGTCGCAGAATCTCGCGCGACGTACTTTTTTCCCTCCAGTGACGACTACGGGCCTTTGACGCACTACGGTGACAAGCGGAGGGCGGGGACTCCAGAAAGGGAATTTAGGAAGGTTCTCTGAGGTTCGAGAATATGGTTAGAAGGTGCCCTCAGATGAATGTTGGTAGCCCACGGCTCGTCTGACGCTTTTCCCTGGATTTTTAAGCGGCGCGACAGTGAGACCATGTTCCTTGTAAGGGATTTAGGTCTGCACTGGACTTTACATTAAAACAAAACAAAACAGTCAGCTCCCCGAGGTGCCTTTTCTTCAGAGAGTAGCTTGAAATGCTCTGTGCATCGTGCATCATTAGCTTTGTGTAATA
Source organism: Homo sapiens (assembly GCF_000001405.40). NCBI lineage: Eukaryota > Metazoa > Chordata > Mammalia > Primates > Hominidae > Homo > Homo sapiens. Next base: position 57,832 of record NW_025791817.1, read on the forward strand.
GCTTACTGCGGAAACGTAGTAAAAATGAAACACTTGCCAAGAAAATCATCCACAGCGCCGCTTCTCAAGTTAGCCAGTTTCAAGTCCATACTGTATCCCAATTACGAACACAGATACTGTTTACACAGTTCTGATCACGATTGCAAGTCTGTATTTCACGTATCAACTTAAGTGCAAAAGATTACAAGATACAAAAGGGGCCCACAGAAGAGGGTACTGCAAGGTAGAGCCGCTCAATCACTGTAGCCAAATGTATCACTCCACCCGGAGTCAGCTTCACTCAATAACTTCAGTCCCTATCTGCCAACCTGTGTCACGAAAGCAGTTAATCAATGAGTGTCTGTCGGCGGGAATTTACACAGCACCTACTGTGTGCTCAATACAGCAAGAGTACAAAAAAGAAGGAAAGAAAGTGGGTTTTCTCTGTTGTCCTGGAATTGACTACAATCTTGGTGGGGAGAAATAGCCCTGCATAAAACTAAATGTTCCACCAGGAGCCGGACCATTGGATGAGGTGGCTTTAACACACTACCATCTTTAACTCTTTAATGACGTATTTCTAATTATATGACACTTTATGTTAGGGGTGTATTAGACTGAGAGGAGCAGAAGATAACAGCACTTTACACACTTTCATAATTTATTTCCACGTCTGTCTTTCTCCGTGGTGGGCATTCATGTTTATTGGGGTAACAATCGAAATGTTTTTAAAAAGTTCACAAGGTGATACATGCTGTGAAGAAAATAAAACAGGCTGGGTGCGGTGGCTCACGCCTGTAATCCCAGCACTTTGGGAGGCCGAGGCAGGAGGATTACTTGAGGTCAGGAGTTCGAGACCAGCCTGGCCAACATGGTGAAACCCCTGTCTCCACTAAAAATACAAAAATTAGCCGGGCGTGGTGGCAGGCGCCTGTAATCCCAGCTACTCCGGAGGCTGAGGCAGGAGAATCGCTTGAACCCGGGAGGCAGAGGTTGCAGTGAGCCAATATCGCGCCACTACACTCCAGCCTGGGCAACAGAGTGAGACTCTGTTTCAAAAAAAAAAGAAAGAAAGAAAACAGAGCAGTGCAAAGGCAAATGACTGGGGGAACACTAGATGAGGAGTCAGGTGACCTAAATTCTCATCTCATCATTGCCAACAACTATCTCTACAGCCTTCGGCAAGACACTTCACCTCTGTGGCCTTATTTTTCTCACTCGTACAATCATTACTTGAATTTATTATCTCTAACCTTCCTTCGTAGTACTATATTCTTTGATTTGATGGTTTAGAGACTAACATTACCTCAATAAACATGAATGCCCACCATAGAGAAAGACAGACATGGAAATACAGAATTCTGAAACTGAAAAGTGCTGTTATCTTCTGCTCTTCTCAGTCCAATACACCCCTACGCATAAGGTGTCATATAGTTAGAAATATGTCATTAGAGAGTTAAAGAGGGCACTGAGTCAAAGCCACCTCATCCAGTGGTCCTACTGCTGGTGGCACATTTAGTTTTACATAGGGCTATTTCTCCCTACCCAGCTTGTAATCAATTTCAGGACAACAGAGAAAAACCACTTTCTTTCCTTTTTGTATTCTTGCTGTATTCCACTGGAATGTCAGTTACATGAAAGCATGGAACTCATCTGTTTTGGTCTTAGCACCTATACCTTGATCCTGCAGGCACTCCAGAGATATTTGTTGAATTAAATGCATAAATGAATGAAGCTCTTCCTTTTGTCTCAACCCAGTGAAAATCATTTCCTTGGAGCCTACATTTTAAGCTGATTTGTTATTTTATAATTAGATTAATTTCAGCCTGCTATTGTTTGAGTGTGTCCCCTTCAAAATTTAAGTGTTGAAACTTAATGGCTGATGTGATGGTATTAAAAGGTGGGACCTTTAAGAGGTCATTAAGCCATGAGAGCTCCTCCCTCAGGAATGGGATTAAGGACCTAATGAAAGAGGCTTTAATCGGTGTTTGGTCACTTGCCCTTTGCCTTCTGCCATGTGCGGATATAACACTCCTCTCCCCTTGTTGCTGGAGGATGCAGCAACAAGGCACCATCTTGGAAGCAGAGAGCAGAGAGCTGCCCCAACCAGACAACTGAACCTTCTGGTGCCTTAATCTTGGATTTCCCAGGCTCTGGAACTCTGAGAAATAAATATATATTCTTTATAAGTCTCAGGTCTCAGTATCTTGTTATAGCAGCATAAATGGACTAAGACATAGCCTAAGTTGCCAACTTTCACCAAAATCCGCATTGTAATAAATATACATCTTTCCTAGAAAACAATCTGTGAAAAGATAAACTACTTCCTCTCAGCCTGGATTAAAACTTTTCCGTTGTATAGAAACAAATAATTGTAATCTGACTTTTGAAATTGGATTACAAAATAAAAGGTGTTGGAACTGATGTAAGAGGCCATCTGCTCTGGAACAACCATAACAGGATTCCATTTGTAAATCCCACTAAGGAATAAGCAGTTTCATCCATAGAACACAAATTTCCAGGATTCTCCATGTCCTTCTCTCCCTGGTATCCTTCTGATTACAAAAAAATCCATCAGCCAATCTATTTTAGCCCATTCCTTTCTCACAGCCACAGAGGGTTTCTCAGTGAGCAGGAGTTAAAACCCCTGAGAAGAAATACATTAGTTGAAGAGAGGTGTAGGCATAGATAATAAAGGTTGCCATTACAATCCTAAACAATCCAGAAGGCTGGGCGCGGTGGCTCATGCCTGTAATCCCAGCACTTTGGGAGGCCGAGGCGGGCGGGTCACCTGAGGTCAGGAGTTTTAGACCAGCCTGGCCAACATGGTGAAACCCCATCTCTACTAAAAATACAAAAATCAGCCGTGCATGGTGGCATACGCCTGTAGTCTCAGCTACTCAGGAGGCTGAGGCAGGAGAATTGCTTGAACCTGGGAGGTGGAGGTTGCAGTGAGCTGAGATCACGCCACTGCACTCCAGCCTGGGCAACAGAGCAAGACTCCGTCTCAAAAAAGAAAAAAAAAACAAAAATAAAAACAATCCGGACACCACCTGTAATCATCCATCCTCCTCCTCTCTATTGCAGGGGTCTGTCACTGTCTTTTTTTTTTTTTTTTGAGACGGAGTCTCGCTCTAATCCACTGTTGCCCAGGCTGGAGTGCAGTGGCACGATCTCAGCTCACTGCAACCTCCGCCTCCCTGGTTCAACCAATTCTCTGCCTCAGCCTCCTAAGTAGCTGGGATTACAGGTGCCGGTCACCACGCCCTGCTAATTTTTGTATTTTTAGTAGAGACGGGGTTTCACCATCTTGGCCAGGTTGGTCTTGAACTCCTGACCTCGTGATCCACTCACCTCAGCCTCCCAAAGTACTGGGATTACAGGCGTGAACCACCGTGCCCGGCCGTGTCACTGTCTTAAGACACATAAACCCCCGTTTTGACTGCTTTGAGCTTCCTTTCCTGCTTTTGCCTATAGGGGGAGTCAGTACGTAATGAAAAGACAGAAACTTGGAACCTGTCTTTTAACTATCCCATAAACTATCCCAAAAATCAGATCACTAAAAGTTCTTGACCCGAAAATTCTGCACCACCATGTGCTCTTGAGGAATGTTTAGTAACGGATTGAAAGCATAACTAGGAGTTCTCACTGGCCAATTCTGAGTAATGTGAGCACCAATATTATTAAAGACAGTAATGAATTATAAACCACTGAAAACTTGGGAGCCATAAGTCCACAGTGATACCAAATAGATAAATAAATGAGAGAGAAGGGAGGGCCTTTGCAGGGAGGGGCTTTGCTTTCAGTCGAATACCATGTGCTGACTGGTAAATATGGAGGGAGTGCTGGAGTTGGAAAATCATCATTTTATATAGATCGGTCCAGGCAAACATTATCAACAGATGCTCAATCCAAGGAGAAATTTTTGATGAGTAAGATATTTCCAGGAACTTAACAGTTTCTCTCCACAGATTGTTTATTAGTAGCAATAAAAAAAAAACAGTAATTATATCCTGGAGAAATTGGGCAACACCTTGACCCAAAATGAGAACATCCTATTTTTAAAATAGGACTTCAAAAATATCAATGTCATGAAAGACAAAGAAGGGCTATTCCAAACGAAAGGAGAGTAAAAAGACAGGGCACAATGCATAAACGTAGACTAGATCCTGTACTGCGAGAAAAAAAATGCTATAAAGGATATTATTTGATAGATTAGTGTTAGAATGTGAAATTTACCCAAGTTGATAACTGTCTGCAGTTATGTAAGAAAATATTATCTGTATATATGGGGCACATACATATATATGGGGCACAAAAATGATAAAGCAATAGGGCAAAATGTTATCAACTGGTGAATTTGGGTCAAGAGTATGTGAGTATACGTTGTACTATTCTTTTTTTTTTTTTTTTTGAGACGGAGTTTCACTCTTGGTGTCCAGGCTAGAGTGCAATGGCGTGATCTCAGCTCACTGCAACCTCTGCCTCCTGGGTTCAAGCGATTCTTCTGCCTCAGCCTCCTGAGTAGCTGAGATTATAGGCATGTGCCTGGCTAATTTTGTATTTTCAGTAGAGACAGGGTTTCTCCATGTTGGTCAGGCTGATCTCGAACTCCTGACCTCAGGTGATCTGCCTGCCTCAGCCTCCCAAAGTGCTGGGATTACAGGCATGAGCCACCGCGCCCAGCCGCATTATACTATTCTTGTAACTTAATTTCAAAATGTAGTTTGAAAAGTGCAATAGTGGGCCAGGCGCAGTGGTTCACGCTTGTAATCCCAGCATTTTGAGAGGCCAAGGTGGGCAGATCACGAGGTCAAGAGACCAAGACCATCCTGGCCAACAAGGTGAAACCCGTCTCTACTAAAAATACAAAAATTAGCCGGGCGTGTTGGCGCTTGCCTGTAGTCCCGGCTACTTGGGAGGCTGAGACAGAAGAATCACTTGAACCTGAGAGGCGGAGGCTGCAGTGAGAGATCGTGCCACTGCACTCCATCCTGGGCGACACACCGTGACTCCATCTCAAAAAAAAAAAAAGTGCAATAGCTCCTGACATTGGTGAAGAATATAAATCTAGTGCAGTGGCACAATCTCTACTCACTTGCAGCCTCCGCCTCCCGGGTTCAAGCAATTCTCCTACCTCAGCCTCCCAAGTAGCCAGGACTACAGGCATATGCCACCACACCTGGCTGATTTTTTGTGTTTTTAGTAGAGACAGGTTTTCACCGTGTTGGCCAGGCTGGTCTTGAACTTGTGACCTCAAGTGATCCGCCCGCCTCAGCCTCCCAAAGTGCTGGGATTACAGGTGTGAGCCACCACGCCCAGCCTCTAGCTACCTCTTAATCACTTATCTTGAGGTTGCACTTTACTGGGACCTCTGGAGAGCTTATAAATGATGCCCCTACTCTTATGAAGCTTAACATCTCTTGAGGAGGGAAGTCCCCCAAATAAGAAGCAGAGAAGATTATATAAGTTCAAGTAGGGGCCGGACTCAGTGGCTCACACCTATAATCTCAGCACTTTGGGAGGCCGAGGTGGGCGGATCTCTTGAGCTCAGGAGTTGGAGACCAGCCTGGCAATATGGTGAAGTCTCGTCTCTACAAAAAAATACAAAATGTAGCTGAGTGTGGTGGTGCGTGCCTGTAGTCTCAGCTACTCGGGAGGCTGAGGTGGGAGGATCGCTTGAGCCCAGGAGGTAGCAGTTGCAGTGAGCCGTGATCATGCCACTGCATTCCAGCCTGGGCGATGGAGTCAGACAGTGTTAAAAAAAAAAAAAAGTTCAACTAGGGAGTTTGAAAATGGAGAAGAGATCAGGAATCAGGATAGGTGGATGAGATCAAGAAAGTCTTTAAAGTAGGACCTGAGCCTTGAAGGTAGGATTTAAATCAGTAGATGATATTTCAGACAGAGTCAACGAACAGTTTGTGTAACTCAGGGAGAGGTTTGTGCAGAGACAGAATAGACTGGACAGAGAACAAATATTGGGAAGTGTTGAAAAACGTGGTTGAGTAGATACAAGGGGCCAGTCTGCAAGTTCCCCAAGGGCAGCATCTAACTAGATCTCATGCAAAGGATTTAATTAAGCCCGGGAGCAGTGGCTCACCCCTGTAATCCCAGCACTTTGGGAGGCCGAGGCGGGAGGATCACTTGAGGTCAGGGGTTAGAGACTAGCCTGGCCAAGATGGCAAAATCCGTCTCTACTAATAATACAAAAATTAGCCAGGCGTGGTGGCGGGCCAGGGACTACAGGCCCACGACACCAGGCTAGTTTTGGTTACGTTTCTTAATGGCTGGGAAAAAATTGCTGGGCACAGTGGCTCACGACTGTAATCCCAGCACTTTGGGAGGCCAAGGTGGGTGGATCGCTCGAGCTCAAAAGTTCAAGACCAGCCTGGGCAACATGAGGAAACCTGTGTCTACAAAAGATACAAGAATTAGCGGGGCGTCGGGGCGCTCTCCTGTAGTCCCAGCTACTTGGGAGGCTGAGGCAAGAGAATTGCTTGGGCCCAGGAGCTCGAGGCTGCAGTGAGCTATGACTATGCCACTGCACTCCAGCCTGGACGAAGAGTGAGACCCTGTCTCAAAAAAAAAAAAAAAATCAAAAGAATAATTCAGGATATGTGAAATTCAAATCATATGTCCATAAGTGAAGTTTTATTGAGCACAGCCATGCTCAACCTCTTACATATTATCTACGGCTGCTTTTGTGCTGTAGTAACAGTTGAATAGTTGCAGAGATCACATGGCCTGCAAAGCCTAAAATATTTATCAGCTGGCGCTTTACAGAAAAAGTTTGCAGCTGGGTGCGGTGGCTCACGCCTATAATCCCAGCTCTTTGGGAGGCCGAAGTGGAAGGATCGCTTGAGCCCAGGAGTTTAAGACCACACTGAGCAACAGCCAGACCCCAGTCTCTACCCTCCTCCAAAAAAAATTAAAAACAATCTGGGCATGGTGGCACGAGCCTATAGTCCCAGATACTCAGGAGGCTGAGGTGGGAGGATCACCTGAGCCCAGGATTTTGAGGCTGCAGTGAGCTGTGATCGCACCACTGCACTCCAGCCTGAGCAACACAGTGAGATCCAGTCTCAAGAAAAAAAAAAAAAAGTTTGCTCACTCCTGACCTAAAGCAATGGTTGTCCACATGGGGCGATTGTGCACAGGGAACATTTTGGCAATGCCTGGAAACATTTCTGGTGGTCACAACTGTGGAGGGTAGGGAGGGCATCCTACTGATATCTAGTTAGTAGAGGCCAGGGATAGTGCTAAATATTCTTTAACGCACATGACAGCCCTCCAGATGTCTGGTCCCAAATGTCCATAGTACTGTGGTTGAGAAACTCTGGATTATAGGACTCTAAGGTGAGTACTTTCTTTTTTTTTCTTTCTGAGACAGAGTTTTGCTCTGTCGCCCAGGTTGGAGTGCAATGGCGCGATCTCGGCTCACCGCAAGCTCTGCCTTCCAGGTTCAAGCAATTCTCCTGCCTCAGCTTCCCCAGTAGCTGGGATTACAGGTACGTGCCACCATGCCTGGCTAATTTTTGTATTTTTAGTAGAGACGGGGTTCCACCATGTTGGCCAGGCTGGTCTTGAACTCCTGGCCTCAAGTGATCCATCCACCTCGGCCTTCCAAAGTGCTGGGATTACAGGCGTGAGCCATTGCACCTGGCCAGGTGAGTACTTTCTAGTACAGGGAAAACTCAGTCCTTAACAAGGGAGCCCACTGACTGAACGCCCAGGTCTTTAACTTTTAGCTCAGGTAGCCTTCACAATGACCATGGCAAGGCAATCACTGATGTCCTCCTTTTCTGGAGACGTTTTATTAAATTTTTATTTTACTTATTTATTTTTGAGATGGAGTCTCACTCTGTCGCCCAGGCTGGAGTGCGATGGCGCGATCTCGGCTCATGGCAACCTCCGCCTCCCAGGTTCAAGCGATTGTCCTGCCTCAGCCTCCCAAGTAGCTGAGATTACAAGCGCGTGCCACCACGCCCGGCTAATTTTGTATTTTTAGTGGAGACGGGGTTTCTCCATGTTGGTCAGGCTGGTCTCAAACTCCCGACCCCAGGTGATCTGCCCACCTTGCTTACAGCTCACAAGTCTGTAGGGCTCCAGGGCTTGTAATTTTCCATAACACCTCAGTGCCTGCCTCTGCTCGGTGACGTCACAAACGTCACAGACGTATTGTCTCACTCGGCTGTCTCCTAGTGTGTGAGCTGCGCAGAGCCAGGCCTATATACATGGATATTTTCTGAAGCCTCCAGGCCTCTGTAAGGAAAGGATGCATGCCCTGATGTCTGCACCCTGGCCCTTAGGAAAACAAAGTTGAAGAAAATTCGTTTTCCTAAGGGCCACCAGAGTTCTTTAAAGTGATGACTCTCTCTCTTGCCTACTTTAATGCTTAGGAGGATGGGAGGCTCCGCTCTCTAGTAGACCCAGGACACAAAATACTCCTTAGTATCTATAGAATGCTTTTTGAGTCATAAAGAATAGTCATATCCATGAATTTTGGGGGATGCTCACATCACAGGATTAAATGAGAGAAGACACGTGGCATAGAGTTCTTTTCCTGCCAGAATTAAAACTCACCTGAATCTTGTTCCGTAGGCTCTGGCGCTCCACATTCTCCATCTAATATACTAAATGATAATCAGCTCAACTTAGTTGAATCCATGCTAATAAAGAAAAAGTGGAGGACTTCCTGCCCACCTCCACCCCAGGTGTTGGGAATTTCAGGCCCAGCTGGAATAAAGTTGGAGGGGGCGGGCACGGGGGATGGCAACCCATCTAGGAAGATTTCATAGGCTGGTGGTGCCTCCCTGAGCCCTTCAAATCACCCACTCAGAAGGCAGCCACCCACTCCTCAGGCAAACCGTGGTGGGCCGCATCACCCAGTGACTTAAGATCAGATCACACAGCCATTTAGCATTTCTTTGAATTTTATTGAAAATTGACATGGACATTAGAAAGGTATCAGGCTAAACAGTGCTGGTTCTGGGATGTTTCTCCTGGAGAATGAAAGCCCCAGAGGGGCAATGACTGGTCACACCTTTGAGCAAAAAGAACAAAGGAGAAGAAAGGAAAAACACACACAGATTCTGGAAAACATGCAAAGAGGCTCTCTCAAGAGACACTGAACAGCAGAATGGTGGTGATGGTGGTAGGGGATATATGAGAATGAGCACACTCACATGGTATTTTGATGCAAGTTAAACCAATGAATTCAAGGCAGATTTACCAACATCAAAGCTCTCCCTCCAGATCCCAGGTTGAGCAGAAACCTCTCTCAAAACCCTAACTGGTCTCGGAAGGTGGAATGGAGTAATTTTGCCCTCACTAAGCTTAAACCCCCTCCCTTCTCTACCTAAGTGTTAGATAGTGGATACATTTTCCCCCTTTGCTGGAATCTATAGAAGGTCTGCGAATGCTGAAGAAGATACAAATGTCACTTGACTTTCTCTTGCATATTCAGAAATGTTTAACAGTGGCTGTAGACAGTCAACCCATCGAACCAGAGAAATGTTTAAAAGAAAAACATAAAACTCAAACAAAACCTTGTGAACAGAACAGTACTTTCATACCCACAGCTGAGGTGTCCTGCCCCAGTCACTTACACTTGGGTGAGTGGTCCTGTAGTTGTTTCTCTGAGGTTACATTTCGTCCATTTTCCAGCTCTGATGGTTCTTTTCCTGCCTTGTTAGTTAGGACAAGACACTTCCATTTAAAATACCATGTGAGTCAGGAAGAGAGCTTCTTGCCTGGACACAGGGACACATGAACACTTGTTGAGTGGTGTGGTGTATGTGTGTGTGCTTGCAGTTTGAGGGGAGAGGAAATTGGTTGATTTCTGATTTGAGACAATATGGAACCCTAACTCTTCTATAATGGCAGTCTTCTCCTTTAGACTTAGTGCAGCTGCTGAAGACAAGATTAAAAAAAGCTGGAAAGGAGAGAGAAAGAGAAAGAAAACATGAAATTAGCCAAAGAAAGAGGACATTCAAAGTAAGACAGGGGGAGGGGAATGGGCAATATTGAGGTAGCACAGATTGTAGTGTGAGAAGACAGGTTAGAAATGGGGGTCATTGCTGGGCCATCACCACGGGGAAATCTGCTGAGAAGGTTTTAAGAACACCACACACCAGTTTAAAGCTTCTTGTTTTAATTAAAAACAAGCACATATTAACAGCCACATGTGAATGCCAAATGATTAAAACAAAAAAACAAAAACAAGAGCCATCTACACTGCAGCTAGGGAAAGCAAACTTCTTGGCTTAAGAGAAGTGAGGGATGTGTGTACGTGTGTGTGTGTGTGTGTGTGTGTGTGTGTGTGTGTGTGTGTGTGTGTGTTTCAGAAAAGCCACTCCAGTCTGGGAAAATAAAAGCACAGACCATTTCTAATGACTGGTTTTGTTTCACCAGAAGTAAACAGAGTACTTAGGGTATTTTTTTTTTAAATAGTAACAGTTGTACTAATTTAAAAGCCTTTTCATTGAAGAAGGAAAAAATCTGTCTACAGTGAGAAAAGCTACCCAATGAAATACACATTTTAATAGGTTGATCAACTTTTTAATTTATGTTCACTCATGGGTTCGATTTTTGTTCACCAAACTTCCCTGATTATAAGGGTCACCTAGGGCACCTGTTACACACAGTCTCCTGGACCCCGTTCCAGCCTTGCAGCATCACTGGGTCATTGGGTTAAGGAGCTGGCCCGGCATGCCTTCGTTTTGCCAGCCCTCACCCAATCCATCTTCAGATGTTTTTCTGTGGAAAAAAACCTCGAGGGTCTTCTAATACTAACTAGTCAGTTACTCTGAACATCAAAAGACCTCGTATCCAGGAATGTAACGTATATAAACAGATTGAATCCCTTTGTGAAACTGATTGGGAGTCAGGAGGCATGAAAATTAGTCTGGCTTCTGCCTCGAAACAGAAGTGGGACCTCGGTCAAGTCCCTTCCCTTCTCTGGGCCTTCATTTCCCCTTACGGAGTAAGTAGGTTATATCGTCTTACTGACTAAAATGTCTCCCTTAATATAAAACTCCTCCTTAGTTTCTGAAGGTCTCTCCAAGGCTGTGTGGGTCTAATACTTTTGAATTATTCAGAGCTTCTCAAGCCTTAACTAGTTAATCTGTACACAAATGCAAATGAGGGCGCCTCCGGTTTGTAATGCAAATAATTACCGGGCGGCGGTGTGGGGAAGTGGTGGTTACCGGTTGGTTGTTTAAGCGTGAATTTCTGGGAAAGCAGCTCTGAAGCTGGACATAGAATCATCAAAGTTGCAAATATGAAGCCTTTCCCAAGGAGACCTGACAGGCCTAACTCAGCATCTCTCTGAGCTACTGGCTGAGTATCTGAGCAGATTTTTTTTTTTTTTTTTTTGGTCGTTGGTTTGTTTCTACCTCCAAGCATATGGTCTTCAAAAAAATACTCCACTGTAACTTGAATTTTCCCAAGAAACTGGCTTGTGCTTTGGCAGCATCACCTTCATACTTGCTCTGGTCACTCACCAATCAATAGAGCACCAAACCTACACAGCAAACCTATATTCTTGCTTTGTCAACAAGAAAAGTGCGTGCATATGTTTGCTTTTCATTTTTTTCTTTTTGCTTCCTATTATGATCTATAATTGAAGTGAGAAATCCCCTTCCCCTTCTCAATACTTCAAAAAGGCCTGGAAATTTGGCATAACCTTGTTTGACTGTGTGCTTTGAAAGTAAGTGATCAAAAAAAGAAACTCTAAAAAAAAAATAGAAGTAGGTGGTCATGGTCAGTGCCAGTGGGGCTGGGAGGCAGGAGCAAGTTGCGGAACTCAAAAAGAAGAAGTGAGCTTGAAGTACATGGCAGGATAGGGGTGGGGGGCCTCGCTGCCTGGCACCCCAAAGGAAAGCTGTCAGTTAAAATAGGAACCTCGGCTTAAAAGGCTAAATGGAGTCCAGTCCAGCTGTAGCGGGGAATACTATTCAGTACACAGCCATGGATTACTGCAAAGGAAGGGCAGAGAGACGGCATGTTAGCCACAGATCATTGCCAGGTCAACTCCATCTCTCACACTGTCACTGGCCAAACACCAAAGGCCACTGTGCCTCATAACCCTGACAAGGGAGGGCTCTCTACTTCACAGAGGTTCCCAAAGCCACTATCAGATGGGACCCATGATAAAAACTTAGGGCTGGAATATTTTTAAACTCTCAACTCCTTAAATTGGAAAGAAAGTTAAGGGCCTTTTCTTCTCTCCGGCCGAGTCTCATCTCTTCTTATTGGGGGATGCATGCAAAATGCATGTTAAAAATCATCATGACATTCACCAAATGAACTAGAAGACTCATCAGAGCAAACCCCCAAACACTTGATTCTTTTGACAGCTCAGTTTTCCAGCCTACAAAGTGGGATTTATTATTCCTGCTACTGGCCTCACCTTATTGGGACAGTATGGAGCCCTTCCGGAAATTACCCCCCGAGATGCTGAAATACCTCACAAGAAGAATTCGGTAAGGCTATCATTCAAGACTCTAGGCTGGTAATAATATTCAGGTTTATTCTCCCTTTTGCATCTGTGGGATACCCAGAGTTAGAGAGAGGGGAAACGTCTGCTATTTTCTTCAGCAGTTGTGTTTTATGGGAAGGGCTTGGTGTAAATAAATGCGTTGCCGATTTTGAGCACAGCTTGAGTGCAGTTACTTCGAGTGAATGAAAACTGGAAAGGGCTGGACTCAAAGGTTAGAAGGAAAAGGCGCCAAAGGCTGTCCTTTTGAAACCCTCTAAGAAATGGCTGTGGCTCCTGAGGATGAGGGTGGGGTGGACCAGGGAGGACTAGTGACTGGGATACAGGAGACCAAGGGGACAGCTGTGCTGATCGGTGGTTACCCAGCCATGGTGGTTGCAAATACCTCAGGGAAACTAACAGCAACCAGAACTGGAACAGGGGAGCTGGTGGGAAAGAGTAGCAGATGGGCCCCCTGACCATGTCACACCTCTGGCAAAGATGTGGGGGAAGACAGGGGGGATGGCTGGGGGTGCTGGGAGGGGGACTGGGATGCAGGATGCATCTGCGAGCCACATGACTGTTGGCTTCTTGACCAGCGGCCAGACATCACCCTCAGATTCTCAGGTTTCTATAAACCTTGGCAGGAAGAGAGGAGAGGGCGCGGGTTGGATTGTATGCCCCCCAGGCATGTTAAGGGGGAAATTAGAGAAAGGGAGGCCCAGCTCTGTTGCGCAGGAAAAGGGTGTCTACAGGAAGCCCAAACTGAAAATGAAAAGAGAAGCTGAGTTAATGAATGGATAGATTAATGTACCAAAAAAAAAAAAAAGTCAGAAGAAAATTAAGTAATGAGGACTAATGGCTAAATTAGAATATAGCTATGTTAGATGGTCTTAAGGTCTTATTGCATTGGCTCCGGGGAACATGCTTTCTCTCTCATACACTCCACACACACTCCCACATGATGGCAGCAGTGGCATTAGCCAGCAAAATAATGATCAACAACCACAAAAATACATTTTATCTTTCTTTCTTTTTTTTTTTTTTTTTGAGACAGAGTCTTGCTCTGTCACCCAGGCTGGAGTGCAGTGGTGCGATCTCGGCTCGCTGCAAGCTCTGCCTCCCGGGTTCACGCCATTCTCCTGCCTCAGCCTCCCCAGCAGCTGGGACTACAGGAGCCCGCCGCCACACCCGGCTAATTTTTTTGTATTTTTAGTAGAGACGGGGTTTCACCGTGTTAGCCAGGATGGTCTCGATCTCCTGACCTCATGATCTGCCCGCCTTGGCCTCCCAAAGTGCTGGGATTACAGGCGTGAGCCACTGCACCCGGCTCTTTTTTGTTGTTGTTGTTGAGATGGAGTTTTGGTCTTTTGCCCAGGCTGGAGTGCAGTGGCCGTGATCTTGGCTCACTGCAACCTCCATCTTCCAATTTCAAGCGATTCTCCTGCCTCAGCCTCCTGAGTATCTGGGATTACAGGCGCCTGCCACCACGCTCGGCTAATTTTTGTATTTTTAGTAGCGACGGGGGTTTCATCATGTTGGCCAGGCTGGTCTCGAACTCCTGACCTCAAGTGATCCACCCGCCTCAGCCTCCCAAAGTGCTGGGATTACTGGCGTGAGGCACTGAGCCCGGCCTATCTCTTCTTAATGACTAGGTCCTGACTAGTGTCCCCCACCACCCACCCCCAGCACCACCACCCACCCCCAGCACCACCACCCAATACCTTGTACAGGAATACCTTCCACAAATCTCTAAGTGGCCTCAGGCCACTGGATAGAGCCCCAGGCTCTAGCCACTGCATTTCCTGTCCCATTGGGAAAGTAGAGGAGGCTGAGGTTTCACCCCAGGAGATCCTTAGAGCTGTCCTAGTCAGCTAACTGGTACTCTGGGGCAAGACCTGTTTGCAGAGCATATGGGGATGATTGCAGAACTCTGTTCTAGGGTCCAGACCACAGTTACCTGAAAATGTGAACTATGGAAACCCATCATTGGTTTGTGCTTAAATAATACTTTGACCTCTCTTCCATGTAAATTTCATTCCTGTGACATAAATACAGCAAGTAGAACTGATCCCCATTTCATATGAGTAGACCAAGAAACACAGAGAAGTCAACAGACTTGCCTGTGGCTGCAAAGAGTCACAGCTGGGCCCAGAGCTGGTGTGTGTGTGTGTGTGTGTGTGTGTGTGTGTGTGTGTGTGTGTGTGTATTTTTATTTCTTTTGAGATGGAGTCTTGCTCTGTCACCCAGGCTGGAGTGCAATGGTGCGATCTTGGCTCACTGCAACCGCCGCCTCTGGGGTTCAAGCAATTCTCCTGCCTCAGCCTCCCAAGTAGCTGGGATTATAGGCACCCGCCACCATGCCCAGCTAATTTTTGTATTTTTAGTAGAGACAGGGTTTCACCATGTTGGCCAGGCTGGTATTGAACTCCTGACCTCGGGTGATCCTCCTGCCTCGGCCTTCCAAAGTGCTGGGATTACAGGCGTGAGCCATCATGCCCAGCCAACTCTCTTAAAAAAAAAAAAAAAAAATAGAGAGATAGGGTTTCACCATGCTGCCCAGGCTGGTCTCCAACTCCTGGGCTCAAGTGATCCTCCCACCTCAGCCTCCCAAAGTGCTAGGATTACATAAGTGAGCCACCTCGCCCAGCTTCCATTTACTCATCTTGCAAACTGGGGATTATTCCTTCTCTACCTCACAGACCTGTTGTAAGTATAAAATGAGATACTATACAAAAGACAAAAACAAAAACAAAACAACAACAACAAAAAAAAACACTTTGGAAAGTAATAAAAGCTATACAAATGCTCATATCTTATTTTTATTCTTTGTCTACTTCCTAGGGGAAGAGTAATCTAAAAAACACTGCAATGGCCTATGTTCTAGGTTTCATGGGAAGGCTGACGTATTTTGATGTGTGTATACTATCCATATACTGTGCACTCCTAAGGACCAATAATGATTGAGGTAGAGTATCTGCAACGATGTAGGGGGTCACAAAGGAATCGCTTTTACAAATGCAGAGAGCTATAAGTAGTGCCTCAAGCAATTTCAAAATGTGGAGGCACAGTAAGCCTCACTCTGCCTGCATTCTAGGTGGCCTTCGTGATCCACCCCTTGAATGAGGGCTTTGAGGAGGGGGCGGGTTGCCTTTGCTGCTTTCAGATCCTGGGGAGCCAAAGCCTCCCCTGACTCGTTGGTCTGAAATTGCTTTCGTGGTCTGCCAGGGAGAATCCTGCCAGGAAGAGCCAACCTACTTGGGGTTGGGGTTGGCTGTTCCAGCTGTTTACCAATTGCCTCTCACTTGTAAAGTGTAGCTTTAATTATAGTTTTGCCAGAATTCATTTTAGGAATGGCCACTAACAATGATTTACTTGGGGAAACCTGTAAGCAACTGTGTCAAGCCACGTGCAGTGAAACCTGAATTAACTGAAATCTCATTAACTAGAATACATATTTCCTGCTCACCTCATTAAAAATGGGAGAACAAAGAACATAACACATGAACTGAGTTCCTATTACATGTCAGACACTTCACTACGCACTGGAACTACATACAGTGCAAAGAATGGACAGGCATTCTAGGAACTGACTGTCTTCCTAAATGGAAATCTGCTGTTTAATTCCAGTCAACTAGCAGGGGCTCCAAGACTTGCTGTTAAGCCAGACAGTAAATCAAGTCACTGTTCTTTTAAGATTGTTTCCTTTGGCCCGGTTTCATGGGCCTTATGTTGCAGAAACCTCTATGGACTTCCTCTTCAGGATTTGCTTCCAAGCAGGATGTTTTGCCAGCTGCCCCGAGTCCCCAGTGCAATAGCTGCGGCAATCAGTTTGGTGACTAACAGCAGGCTCTCCATTTAAATCATAAACTACATGGGTGAGTGGGGAAAAGTCTTCTCTATATTTTATATTCCCTGATCCAAACAAACCAAATGTAAAAGGGCATTTATGAGACAACCGGGATGTTTCAAACACTGACTAGACATTTCATGTTAATGAATTATTGTTCATTTTGTAGGTGTGATAATGGTGGGGTTGTGGTTATGTTTTTTTAAAGAATCATTATCTCTTGGAAATATATACTAAAGTATTTACAGATAAAATGATATAGTTTTGCTTTATAATAATTCAGCAGGTCTGTAGTAATTGATGAAACAAGATTAGGCATATGTTTATGGTTGCCTGGGGGCTGAACTGTATTATCCTCTTATTTTGCTCATGTTTGAAAGTTTCCACGGTAAAGTTTAAAAAAAATAATAATAACCCTTCATCGGGCGCGGTGGCTCACGCCTGTAATCTCAGCACTTTGGGAGGCCAAGGTAGGCAGATCACCTGAGGTCAGGAGTTTGAGACCAGCCTGGGCCAACGTGGTGAAACCCGGTCTCTGCTAAAAATACAAAAATTAGCCAGGAATGGTGGCACATGCCTATAATCCCAGCTACTTGGGAGGCTGAGGCATGAGAATTGCTTGAACCCAGGAGGCGGAGGTTGCAGGGAGCTGAGGTTGTGCCACTGCACTCCAGCCTCGGTGACAGAGTGAGACTCCGTCTCAAAAAAAGAAACAAACAAACAAAAAAAACCCTAATTATGTTAAATTAAAAATGTTTGTATTTCCTTTCCATCCACTACCTGAGTCTAGTAGAGGAGATAGAAGGTCCTTAATCCCTGCTTTCAGTCTCCCTATAAACTATGTGAAACTTTATAAACTTCTATTAACACAACATCTAGCACTCAGGAATCCTTACCTGCTGATCTCCTTATAAGAGGTTTTCATGAAGCCAGTACTTGTAGGATTAAATGTAAGGAATTCTCTATAATTTCTAAGATCTCTTCATTTTCCTCCGCTTTTATTATGGGTTTTTTTTTTTTGTTTTTTTTTTTGTTTGTTTGTTTGTTTGTTTTTTTGAGACGGAGTTTCGCTCTTATTGCCCAGGCTGGAGTGCAAAGGTGCGATCTCGGCTCACTGCAACCTCCGCCTCCCAGGTTCAAGCAATTCTCCTGCCTCAGCCTCCCGAGTAGCTGGGATTACAGGCATGCACCACCACGCCCGGCTAATTTTGTATTTTTAGTAGAGACAGGATTTCTCCATGTTGGTCAGGCTGGTCTCGAACTCCCGACCTCAGGTGATCCGCCCGCCTCGGCCTCCCAAAGTGCTAAGATTACAGGCGTGAGCCACTGCTCTCAGCCTTATTATGGTTTTGAGGGGTACAGTCAAAGGAAATTTGAGGACTTGAACCCCTCAGATATGAAACTGCCACCAGCGGGAAACAGAGAAGTGAGTTTCCATTGACTCTGGACATTCTCAAACCTGATGCAGGGGGATGGGAGAGGGTTGATGCTGACTGTGACATTGCAGGACGGAGCTTGTGAAACCCAGTTTCTCTCATCACCACGGTTTCATTAATTTTGAAAATAATGGTTATAGCTCCTTTTGTTTTTGAGATGGAGTTTCGCTCTTGTTGCCCAGGCTAGAGTACAATGGTGCAATCTCGGCTCACTGCAACCTCCGCCTCCCAGGTTCAAGCGATTCTCCTGTGTCAGCCTCCAGAGTAGCTGGGATTACAGGCCTGTGCCACCATGTCCGGCTAATTTTTTGTATTTTTAGTAGAGATGGAGCTTCACCGTGTTAGCCAGGATGGTCTCAATCTTCTGACCTCAGGTGATCTGCCCTCCTCGGCCTACCAAAGTGCTGGGATTACAGGTCTGTGAGCCACTGCGTCCGGCCCGATTATGGCTCTTTAAGAAAAAAACTTCCCACACTGAAACCTCAAATACTGATCACAGGATCCACCTGTGTTACCCAGCTGTTCTAGCAGCAAAAGTCTGAAAACGACCCCTCACTTTAATCAGGCAGGCAGGCAGGCATTCCACATGTACACCTGAAACCACACCAGACTATTTCTGCATATTATAAGTCACGAGAGAAAACCAGCTAGACCAATGAAGCAGCTTCTTCTACGATTAGATGCTTGTGTTGGGGGTGCGGGATTGGGGGAGATATGTTCTAGAAGCCACTGCCAGTTCTATTTAGAGTTAATCAAGCTTACCAGGACCCTGGGTCTCATGCAGCATGCAGCAAACAGCAGAGTTAACTGTAAAACAGTAAGAGCTGATGAAGATGGAGTGAGCATGAGGGGAAATCAAATATTATGACTTGACACAAACAATGAAGGGTTAGAGGTCAAAGGTGATTAGGAGTAGCAGGAAGGGGAAGTGGGAAGGGTGGACTGGTAGGAACCCCTGAAACACTGATACTCTTTTTTTTTTTTTTTTGAGTCAGGGTCTCTCTCTGTTGCCCAGACTGGAGTGCAGTGGCGCAATCATGGCTCACTGCAGCCTCAACCTCCCGGGTTCAAGCAGTTCTCCCACCTCAGTCTCCTGAGTAGCTGGGATTATAGGCAAGTGCCACCAGGCCCAGCTAATGTTTATTTATTTATTTTTTTTGTAGAGACAAAGGTCTCACTATGTTGCCCAGGCTGATCTCAAACTCCTGGACTCAAGCAATCCTTCGCCTTGGCCTCCCAAAGTATTGGGATTACAAGCATGAGCCACCACGGCTGGCCAGTACTTTCTTAATCTCTTTAGGGGCAGCTAAAGGAAATTCTGAATATGTGACTCTTAGATCCAACCACCATCTCTCAAGAAGAAATACTACTACCACCATTTCTGCCCTCAAAACTCACTACCGTGACTATGGGAGGAGGGTAGCACAGGTCTAACGGTGGCTCTTCCAGAAGTTAACAAATTGCTCATGAAATTACATAAGAAGCCAAGATTCAGGGCCACTTCTGCATCTGGAAGTACAGAAGAAGACAGGTCATTCTGTTAGGCCCTTATTGCTAATATAAGGTGCCACATGCCAGCAGGGTTTTCACCCATTTCAGAATTGGAAAGGGGCACTGTCACCAACCCCAAATATTCCTGAAGAGTAGAGAGGGGTATCTCCCTGTTGGGGTCTCCTGCCTGGGGTGGGAGAAGTCAGTCAGTATGAGGCAACAAGGGGAAAGCTTGATGTAAGAAGAACTTTTACTGAACATCTGAATAGGGAATATTTATAGTTTCATTGTAGCCTGAACAAACCAATTCCTAACTCCCACAAGCAGGCTATGAAACTGCCCCAGGTACTGAGTTAACAAATACCACAGGACTATGAAGGCAGCAGGTTACAGCTGGATGACAAATTTAGATTTTTCTGATCTTAAAAATAGGAATTCATTCCTGCTGGTGCAACTAATACACCATGACAGATAAGTTAATACAGTACAGGGTGTGTCCAAAGAGACTTTTTTCTGGCTAGTTGAACTTTATCCATCAGGTAATACCAAAAAATTTCATTCATCAGTGAATTTGACATATAGTATTAAGATTCAGTAAGAAAAATTTCTGGACTAATTGGTGAAGATGTTCTTTTTTTTTTTTTAGACAAAGTCTCACTCTGTCACCCAGGCTGAAGTGCAGTGGCATGATCTTGGTTCTGCAACCTCCACCTCCCAGGCTCAAGTGATTCTCCTGCCTTAGCCTCCTGAGTAGCTGGGACTACAGGTGTGGGCCACCATGCCCAGCTAATTTTTGTATTTTTAGTAGAGACGGGGTTTCGCCATGTTGCCCAGGCTGGTCTCAAACTCCTGACCTCAGGTGATCTGCCTGCGTCAGTTTCCCAAAGTGCTGGGATTACAGGCGTGAGCCACCGTACCCGGCCAAGATGTTTAAATTACACATTTGCATAAAGAGTAATTGGATTGCAAAGCTGAATGCCTTCAAATATAACATATTTTACTGTTATGCAAAAGTTACCATGTTATTCCTAAGTGATAAGCCAGAGGAAAGGAAGGTGTTTCTTCCTTCTGGCAAAAATATCCCATAGTTAAGTCCAGGAACAAATGGCTGAAAACAGAAGGCAATGACCATGGACACCTTTTGGATCCTCAGTACCCTTCAGTAAAGACACAGCTAAACAGTCCACCTGGGAACTCCTCAAGCCACACTGCACAAACAACTGCAGGGCACAAGGGCACCACAGGAGTTTTTCTAGATCCCGTTGAAATATTTTTCTCCAGTTCTGGGATGAGGAATGGGTAACTTCAGCAAGCAGAGACTGGGGTTGGGTGAGGATTATTGACCCACATGGTATCCAGGAGCCACTGTTCTAATACCAGGGGAGATCAGAAGGTCTTACAGTCATTCCACAGATTGAGGATGGGGCACATGCAGCATACACTGGCATCTGAGGGCTCCCCCATAAGTTCTCAGCACCCCAGGCTAGGCAGAACTAAGCCAGCAGGGAGGGATCACAAAGGGGTGGGAAATCAGGGCTGAGCTGCAGCCTTCACTGGCAGCAGTTAAATTCTGTTGGCTGCAGAGAGTAATAACTGAGGCAGGGTGAGGGTGGGACTACGGCCATGGAGAGGTGAGCAACCTCAGATATAGGGCAAGGGTGGGGAGAGGGTGCACCGAGTTTCTGCTAAAGGCTCTCTCTTTCTTCCACTATCCTGTATCTGCACTTCTTTTTTTTTTTTTTTTTTTTTTTTTTGAGACAGAGTCTCAATCTGTCGCCCAGGCTGGAGTGCAATGGTGCTATCTTAGCTCACTGCAACCTCTGCCTCCTCAGTTCAGGCAATTCTCCTGCTCAGCCTCCCAAGTAGCTGGGATTACAGGCGCACGCCACCACGCCTGGCTAATTTTTTGTATTGTTAGTGGAGACAAGGTTTCATCATGTAGGCCAGGCTGGTCTCGAACTCCTGAACTCAAGTGATCCACCCGCCTTGGCCTCCCAAAGTGCTGGGATTACACCACGCCCGGCCCGTAGCTGCAGTTCTTTTTGTTCCTCTCTTTCTTTTCTATTTTTTTTTTTTTCAGATGGAGTCTCACTCCGTTGCCCAGGCTGGAGTGCAGTGGTGTGATCTCAGCTTACTGTAACCTACACCTCCCGGGTTCAAGTGATTCTCCTGCCTCAGCCTCCTGAGTAGTTGGGACTACAGGCAGCTAATTTCTGTATTTTTTTTTTTTTTTTAGATGGAGTCTCGCTCTGTCGCCCAAGCTGGAGGGCAGTGGTGCGATCTCAACTCACTGCAACCTCTGCCTCCTGGGTTCAAGCAATTCTCCTGCCTCAGCCTCCTGAGTAGCTGGGATTATAAGCGCGCGCCACCGCGCCTGGCTAATTTTTGTATTTTTAGTAGAGACAGGGTTTCACCATGTTGTTCAGGCTGGTCTTGAACTCTTTTTTTTTTTTTTTTTTTGAGACGGAGTCTCGCTCTGTCGCCCAGGCTGGAGTGCAGTGGCACGATCTCTGCTCACTGCAAGCTCCGCCTCCCAGGTTCACCCCATTCTCCTGCCTCAGCCTCCCGAGTAGCTGGGACTACAGGCACCCACCACCACACCCAGCTAATTTTTTTGTATTTTTAGTAGAGATGGGGTTTCACTGTGTTAACCAGGATGGTCTCGATCTCCTGACCTTGTGATCTGCCTGCCTCGGCCTCCCAAAGTGCTGGGATTACAGGTGTGAGCCACCGTGCCCAGCCTATTTTTTTTTTCTTTTTTTTTTAAGCAGAGACGGGGTTTCGCCATATAGGCCAGGCTGGTCTTGGACTCCTGACCTCAAGTGTTCCTCCTGCCTTGGCTTCCCAAAGTGCTGGGATTATAGGTGTGAGCCACCGTGCCCGGCCTTGTTCCTCTCTTATATTGCTGCACCTCTAATTTTTTTCTTCCCTTCTGCTCTCTCACTCTCCTTTGCTTTTCCTCTTTTCCCTTCCTTTCCTATGGACCTTGAGTTTGCAGGGCTTTCCTGAGCAAGCTGGACAGATGGGCTGGGCCTCTGGGACCACACCCCTCTGCTACTCTCAACTCCCCAAGCTCAGGGAATCCAAAGGTGCCACAGGGATGCTGGGACCAGTTATAGGTACCTCAACCAGTCTGACAGCCCACAGCTCACCTCTGGTCACCAGTCCTCAGCCCCTTCAGGTGCCACGTCCTGCCCTGGGAGGATGAGCAGGAGGAAAGAGAAGGCACCACCCCAGAGCAGCCTGCTACTTACTTTTTCTTCTCTTTGTCTCTCTTCAGAGTCTGTGAGCCTCCAGCCTGGGAGCCCTGGGACTGGAGCAGCTCAGCCGCCGTCTTTCTTTGCTTGAAAGCATTCACTTCATCATCCAGGGATTTCTTCTTATCCTCCAGTTTCTTCTTCTCGTCCTGGTGCAGTTTCTTCAGACGGTCAAACTTCTCGTGCAGCTGGCAGGGAAGCACAGGGAGATTGGAGAGAATCCCCTGTGAGCAGTCCCCAGCCTGGCCAAGCCCAGGTGGGTGGGGACCAGTAGGGCTGTGACCCTGCAGGACCCTGGAACCTCAGGGGGCATTTCTGTCAGGGATTGCTATGATGGCACCAAAGGCACCATGCTCTGGATCGTTCTCTCTTCCTGCCATTTTATCTCCAAGTCTCTGCTCCTGAATATGGTAAAGGAATACTGCATTGTGTTTAGTCAGACATTTTGTTAAAAAGAGTCCCCATAGTTACCACACATGGTCAATAATAACATCAATTATAATAATATAACATTTACTGAGTGCTGGCCGGGCTCAGGCCTGTAATCCTAGCACTCTGGGAGGCCAAGGTGGGCAGATTACTTGAGGTCAGGTGTTCGACACCAGCCTGGCCAACATGGTGAAACCCCGTCTCTACTAAAAATACAAAAATTAGCCAGGCATTGTGGCATGTGCCTGTAGTCCCAGCTACTCAGCAGGCTGAGGCAGAAGAATCACCTGAACCCAGGAGGCGGAGGTTGCAGTGAGCCAAGATTGTGCCACTGGACTCCAGCCTGGGCAACAGAGGAAGACTCCGTCTCAAAAAATAAAAAAAGAAATTACCGAGTAATTACAGGCTAAGCACTGACTTTTATAAGTCCTTTATGTATATTAATTTATTTAATTGTTACCACATTCCTATGAGGTAGGTTCCGTTATTATCTCCATTTTATGAGGAAACAGAAGGTCTGAGAAGTAAGGAATTTGACTATGGTCAACCCAGTATTTAGAACATTATATAATGGGACCTCTTATGTGTAAGGAACCCCTGTCTTTTCTTAACCCCTGCAATCAGGAAGGATCACCATGGATCTCAGAGAAAACTTCAGTATGGGAAAGCCAGTCAAGGAAATACTTGGCTTTGGACATGGAAGGAAATAAAAAGGACTTTATGACATGGAATGAGTACAGACACCTCAGCCTTAACTAAAGGGAGGCTTAATTAGTCCTGAATAGAACCAGAAACCCAAAGAAGAACAAGAAGAATATTCTGGGCCAGGCACAGTGGCTCACGCCTGTAATACCAGCACTTTGGGAGTGCTGTAATCCCAGTAGTCGGCTCAATCCCAGCACTTTGGGAGGCCAAGGTGGGTGGCATAAGGTCAGGAGTTCTAGACCAGCATGGCCAACATGGTGAAACCTCGTCTCTACTAAAAATACAAAAATGAGCTGGGCGTGGTGACGCTTGCCTATAATCCCAGCTACTTGGGAGGCTGAGACAGGAGAATCACTTGAACCCGGGAGGCGGAGCTTTCAGTGAGCCGAGATCGCACCACTGCACTCCAGCCTGGGCAAGAGTGAGACTCTGTCTCGGAAAAAAAAAAAAAGAATATTCTGGCATGCCATTGTGGTAAGTGGATCAGAGAACAAGAGGCACAGACAGTCACAAACTAGAATGCAATAAACTACCCTGAATAGTAAGAGCAGAGCAAGCCGAATTTCACTTTCTTTCATGGATTCAGGAGAGAGTTTAGGATTCTGTAGCACTTGCAGCATACGATGAAGAAGGTTAGTTCTCCGGGTCCTGGGGGTATTTGGCACTGTCACTTAGGTGGGTGAGTGACAGACTTGCTGTATAAACCAGATCTTTTCTTTTTTCTTTTCTTTTTTTTTTTTTTTTGAGACAGAGTCTCGCTCTGTCGCCCAAGCTGGAGTGCAGTGGCACAATCTCGGCTCACTGCAACCTCCGCCTCCCAGGTTCAAGTGATTCTCCTGCCTCGGCCTCCCAAGTAGCTGGGACTACAGGCACGTGCTACCACTCCTGGCTAATTTTTTGTATTTTTAGTAGAGACGGGGTTTCACTGAGTTAGCCAGGATGGTCTCGATCTCCTGACCTTGTCATCCGCCCACCTTGGCCTCCCAAAGTGTTGGGATTACAGGCATGAGCCACCACGCCTGGCCTAAAGCAGCTCTTACTAGTCACTAGGGCTGCCTATCAATTGCCTTAACCTGGTTTTTGTTTGTTGCACTTTTATTCATTTGTCTTTGAGATCCCCTCACTTCTCCTCCTAAAAGTGCTGGGTGACATTTTTGTTTTTTTTATTGAGACAGAGTCTCACTCTGTCACGCAGGCTGGAATGCAGTGGCCTCGATCTCTCGGCTGAAGCATTCCTCCTACCTCAGCCTCCTGGGTAGCTGGGACTACAGGCACGTGCAACCATGCCTGGCTAATTTTTTGTATTTGTAATTATTTTTTTTTTTTGAGATGGAGTCTCGCTCTGTTGCCCAGGCTGGAGTCCAGTGGGACAATCTCGGCTCACTGCAACCTCCGCCTCCTGGGTTCAAGCAATTCTTCTGCCTCAGTCTCCCAAGTAGCTGGGACTACAGGTGCGTACCACCACACCTGGCTAATTTTTGTATTTTTAGCAGAGACAGGGTTTCACCATATTAGCCAGGCTGGCCTCAAACTCCTGAACTCGTGATCCACCCACCTCGACCTCCCAAAGTGCTGGGATTACAGGTGTGAGCAACTGCGCCCAGCCAATTTTTTCTATTTTTAATAGAAACAGGGTCTCAGTATGTTGCCCAGGCTGGTCTTAAACTCCTGGGCTCAAGCAATCCCCTCGCTTTAAGCCTCCCAAAGTGCTGGGATTACAGACCTGAGCCAAGGCACCTGTCTGACATTTTTTTTTTTTGAGGCAGAGTCTCGCTCTGTCGCCCAGGCTGGAGTACAGTGGCGCGATCTCGGCTCACTGCAAGCTCCGCCTTCCGGGTTCACGCCATTCTCCTGCCTCAGCCTCCCGAGTAGCTGGGACTACAGGCGCCCGCCACCACGCCCGGCTAATTTTTTTGTATTTTTAGTAGAGACGGGGTTTCACCGTGTTAGGCAGGATGGTCTCGAACTCTTGACCTTGTGATCCGCCCGCCTTGGCCTCTCAAAGTGCTGGGATTACAGGCGTGAGCCACCGCGCCCAGCCAACAGACATTTTTTTTTTTTAAGTGAAACTGAAAAAAAAAATCAATACCCTTGTCATGGGCTTTGGTGAGAACCCTTGAGAGTGTGACAGGTTAAATGTGGAAGAGAATCGTGAAGTAATTAAGTGTTTCCTTTCTTTTTTTTTGTTTTTGAGATGGAGTCTTGCTCTGTCACCAAGGCTGGAGTGCAGTGGCATGATCTCAGCTCACTGTAACCTCCACTTCCCAGATTCAAGCGATTCTCCTGCCTCAGCCTCCCAAGTAGCTGGGACTATAGGCATGTGCCACCACACTCCACTAATTGTTGTATTTTTAGTAGAGACAGGGTTTCACCATGTTGGCCAGGCTGGTCTCGAACTCCTGACTTCAGGTGATCCAACTACCTCGGCCTCCCAAAGTGTTGGGATTACAGGCGTGAGCCACAGTGTCCGGCCCAATGTTTGGATTTCTGTTCCTGTGTTAGTTTGCTGAAGATAATGGCTCCCAGCTCCACTCATGTCCTTCTAAAGAACATCCTCTGATTCCTTTTTATGGCTGCATAGTATTCCATGGTGTATATGTACCACATTTTCTTTATCCAATCTATCATTGATGGGCATTTGAGTTGATTCTATGTCTTTCCTATTGTGAATAGTGTTGCAGTGAACATATGTGTGTGTGTATCTTTATAATAAAGTGATCTATAGGATTGCTGGGTCGAATGGCATTTCTGATTCTAGGTCTTTGAGGAATCACCACACTGTCTTCCACAGTGGTTGAAGTAATTTACATTCACACCAACAGTGTAAAAGCGTTCCTATTTTTCCACAGTCTCACCAGCAGCTGTTGTTTCTTGACATTTTAATAATCACCAGGCTCACATTTACCTCTTTCTCTGCCTCTTTGAGCTCCGCTTCTTTCTCTTTGACTCGCTGGACGAACATCTGTCTCATCTCCTCTTCTTTTTTCTGGAGTTCCCCTAGGAACTCGTTCCTTTTGGCCTCATATGTCTCCTGTAAACTGCGAACATGGTCAGGTTAATTCTTCTTCCTTTGGAATGATTCCTATTTGATAAAACTGGCCCCAAAGATCCTCACTGGGTTCCTCTGTCCTCCCTTCCCCAGTTGTGAGCCAGGTACAAAAATAGAACCACAAAGCTGTGGGCACCTGGCTTGGCCCATGACAGCATGCCCACAGGGATTCTGGAGGGGGATGGGGCAACCCTAGTGAACTGGAGAGACTTAGAATATCTGGTTCTATACTCTTGTTCTACGGATGAGAAAACTGAGGCCCAGAGAGGTGAGGTGTCTTACTCAAGGCCCCACGGCTAGTTAGAGGGAGAACTTTGACCAGAAGCTGAGTCTCCTGTCTCTTCATCTGGGTTTTCCCACTGCACAATGCTGCCAGGCCCTGGCTCTGAAACTGACCACATTAATGAACTATTTCAACAAATGCTTGAGGAGACTCCATATGTGCTAGACTCAGTACTAATTGACATGATGCTAGTCACTCAGCCTCTAGAGCCAACAGCCATCATACCTGCCATCAAGGAACTCATGGTCTAGTGGGAGATGCCCCTGGCCTAAGCTTATTTTTAAAGAAATAGGAGATAGGCTGGGTGCAGTGGCTCACGCCTGTAATTCCAGCACTCTGGGAGGCCAAGACGGGTGGATCACCTGAGGTCAGGAGTTCGAGACCAGCCTGGCCAACATGGTGAAACCCCATCTCTACTAAAAAATACAAAAAATTAGCCAGGCGTCGTAGTGGGCGCCAGTAATCCCAGCTACTCGGGAGGCTGAGGCAGGAGAATCACTTGAACCTGCTAGGCGAAGGTTGAAGTGAGCCGAGATTGCGCCACTGCACTCCAGCCTGTGTGACAGAGTGAGACTCCATCTCAAAAAAAAAAAAAAAAAAGCAATAGCCTGGTGAAGAAGAGGTGGAACTGTGATCCAAAGAGGGCAGCATGTAAGAAAGCAGGTGTGAAGAGAGAATGACATTCTTGGGGAGCCAGGTATGGTTCAACATGGCCAGAGAGCACCATGGCAGTGGTGGAGTAGAGGCAGACAAAGTTCCTGAGCCTGGAGGAAGAGAACAGGCTTTGAATGCCATATTTAAAAATTGGATATGTACACACTGCATGGTTTTAAAGCAGGAAGTAGTACTAGATCCAATTTGAAAATGAGAAGGACCATTCCGGCTGTGCTGTGGGAAGGATAGACTGTCCATCAATCCAAGTAAGAAGTGACAGGATCTTGGCCAGGTGTGGTGGCTCATGCCTGTAATCTCAGCACTTTGGGAGGCCAAGGTGGGTAGATCACTTGAGGTCAGGAGTTCAAGACCAGCCTGGCCAATATGGTGAAACCCCATCTCTAATAAAAATACAAAAATTAGCTGGGTGAGGTGGTGGGCGCCTGTAATCCCAGCTACTGGGGAGGCTGAGGCAGGAGAATCGCTTGAACCCGGGAAGCCAAGATTGCAGTGAGCCGAGATTGTGCCATTGTACTCCAGCCTGGGCGATAGAGCAAGACTCTGTCTCAAAAAAAAAAAAAAAAAAAGAAAGAAAAGAAAAGAAGAAGTGATAGGATCTTAATGTTAAGGGCTGGGAGGGAATGGAGGGAGCAGTAAGGGAAGCAGAACTCCCAGGACTTGGGAGGAGCCAAAGGTAATTCTGATTATCCTTGGGCAACCAGGTGGATGGTGGTATCATGAATGGCAACAGGGAATGTTGGAGACACATGCTTAAGAGGGCAGAAGATGAATTTGTACAGAGCTTGATTTTCGGGGAGGTCCTCTATGGGATGTCTGAGTGGACATCCAGGATGCAGTTGGATTAATGGGTTTAGACCTCAGAAGTAAGACTAGCTTGGGAACCATCTACTTCTAGGTGGTAATTAGGGCTGTGAGAGTAGAAAGAACCAGCTGCAAAGAGAACAGAAAGTGAAAGGAGCAGAGGCTCTAGGAAAGAATCCCGGGGGGTATATCAACATTTAAAGGAGTAAGGTGAAGAAAACGAGCCTGCAAAGGAGGCTGAGAAGAAATAGTAGGAGAGATAGGAATAGAATCAGCCAGGCCAGTGCTAGAAAAGCCAAAGGCAGAGAGCATTTCAAGGAGGCAGTGGGGAATGGCATAAAGTGCTGCGTTGATATCAAATAAGATGGAAACCAAAGGCCACATTGAACTTGGCCACAAGTCTGCGATTCCTGGCCTTGGAGAGAGGCATTTGAGTGGTTATGCTGGGGACAGAAGCCAGACTGCAGTGGATTGAGGAATGAATGAGAGATGGGGAAGAGGAACCAGTAAACATAGAACAACTCTTTCTCCTCATCCTGTCAAGGACTTCTTGACAGGACAGAGGCTGGTAAGAAAGAGCAGGGTTAAGGGAGAGTTTCTTCAGCACAAGAATGCTTACATGCAGCATGGGAAGGAGCTGGCAGAGAAGGAGTGAAGAAGGCGAAGACACAGGAAACAGAGGTATTCAGGATGGAGTGAAGGAGGAGGGAAGGAGACAAAATGACCAGGTGGAGGCACACCTACTCCTCTACAAATGCAGATGAAAGCTGCAGGTGGGGAAGACAGCCAGGGAGCTCCCACCAGAAAAAGACAAGCATGGCTTCCCCCAGCCCCACCTGTCAGTATATAGGGCATGAGCCTGTCCCTCCTGAAGCAAATATCCCCAAGGGACTGGTTAGGCTCTGACTCCAGGCCAGCTTTAGGCTGTGCACAGGTAGAGTAAGATCTCAGAGGCTCTTTGAAAGCCTTTTTAACTGGTAGACATCTCCCTCACTTGCTTATTAATGCCTGACCACCATAAAGGGCACCACGTGGTAATTTCAACTGTGGGGCTTATTTCACACATCACGCATATAGATCAGACACTTCTACTTGGCGCATTACTCCTCTCTGCATAATAACCTGCTTTCAAAAACATTCCCCTTCTCTAAAAGCATTCTGATTTAAGAAATATGGCAGTGATGATCAACATCCTGCGGTCAAAACAGAACTTGCACTTGAATGCAGACACTAAGGACAGCAATTGGAGAGCCTGCAGTTCATCGATGCATGGCAAGGGCATGCTACCTGGTCCTATCTGGGTTTGAGAATGGGGAAATGGGTAAAGAACAGACTAGAAACCTGTCTGAGCGCCAGGAGCCTGATGAAGAAAGAGGGGCAGAGGACAGTTACCAACTGCCACCTCGTGGAACAGGGCCCCAGCTTGGGGATTCCCCCCAGCGCAGCTGCTTGGAGCTGTCATGGATGCGTGCATGTGTGTGTGGTGATCAGCCTTGCTGGTCCTCTGGGCATCCTCCCTTCCCTTGCCCTTAAAAGCAAGGCGGCGGTACTTCCCAAGCCTGCTCCCCACAGCTCTCCTGGCAGGTGTGCAGAGGCAAAGGGTGAACAGGCAAGCAGAACTGGCAAGTGAGTCGCCCCTGCTCCTTGAGGTCTTAGCACCCGTGTCTCGCCTCCCCTGTGAATTCTCCAGGGGAAGGCTTCCACACCACCTGAGTGGGCTGAGCTGAGCTGGGCTGGGCTGGGCTGGGCTGGCAGGAGCGGTACCTGAAGGGTTTGCTGTCAGGGTCGGTGTCCTTGAAGCCCATCTCCTCCAGCTTACAGCGGCGATACAGCTCATAGTGCCGGGTGTGGGTCTGCTCCCGCAGATCCTCCATGTTGACCCGAATCAGCATCTCCCGCAGCTTCACAAAGTCGCAGTGGGCCTCGTTTTCAACTGCATAGCAGGATTTGGGGTATTGAAAGTATGTTGAAAGGAAGGCCAGCAGAAGCAGAAATGGATGAAACGAGAGGCAAAATGTCTAACAGTGACGTTGCCTTGCAATCTGTGTATTTAGATCCTGCAAATTTACCTCCTCTCTTTTCTACTGAAAATGTAAATGAAAGGTTACAAAAATGCCAGTAATGAAAAACTGTGATATCATAAAAATACTTATTAAGACAGTCAGTAGCACCACAATCTAAATTCAGCAGTCAGAACCCTCAAAAGAATGTTTGGTCTGCACCACTTGTAGGACAACAGCATATATGCATCTGTCCATCCATCCATCCATCCATCCACTCATCCATCCATCCATCTATCCATCCATCCATCCATCCATCCATCCATCCACTCATCCATCCATCCATCCATCCATCTATCCATCCATCCATCCACTCATCCATCCATCTATCTATCCATCCATCCATCCATCCATCCATCCATCCATCCATCCATCCAATCAATATTTGTGGAATCTCTGTTCCCAGTATTGTGTGAGGCACTGGGAATTCAGAAACGAAGTGATGGAATCTTGCTCTCAGGAGCTTATAGTTTAGAGGAAGAATAGATACAAATAGACAAATACAATTCAGTGCACAACTACAAAAATAGAGGGATAGCCAAGTTGCAATAAAGCTCAGAAGAGGGGAACCTAAGAACTCCTGGGAAAGTGAAGACTTCACCGAAGAGAAAATCTCTAAGATGACTCTGGAAGGAAGAATAGCAATTTATCAGCCAGAGAAGGGAATGGTGTTTGCAAAGTGTCAATGAGGCTAGGCAAGGTTATGTAGCTAGTAAGTTGCAGAATTAGGGTTCAAACCCAGGCAATGTAGGGGAGGTGACAAAGTCTCCAAAGAATAAGGGGAAAGAACTAGGATATTGATAGATGACAGTGACAAGGAGGGGTGTGGACCGCAGGCATGGCCCACCTGGATGGTAGAAGCTTCCAAGGAGGTGGTTTCTTTAGAAGGTAGATAATGGCCTGACAGTAGCAGTGGTGACTAGGAGCAAGGGGACCCCACTTTCTGGCCTGTGTGAACAAGTCCCCTCCTCAAAAGAGTGCAAGCAAAGGTCTGCAATTTGGGGCAGTGGTCAAGAATGACAGATGTGGACCAAGTCATAGCAAAATCGATTTCTGGCTGGACCAGGTCACGAGGAGCACTTTGTCAAGGTGGCTACAGGTATGGCTTCACTGTGTCGGATGGTGGTATTTGCCCTGAACAAGTAGGAAAAATGGTGTCTGAAGTGAACAGGCAATCACCCCAGATTCTGTCTTGCAGGGTCTGGAAGAGGGTAGTGAGGGCAGAGAAGGGTCTGGGATAAGTGGGTCAGCCATAGTTGAAGCAGACTACCTTGTGGTCATTAATCTTTCCAAAGCCCGAATCAGCTCACATAATCCCTCTGCTTAAGACCCACTGAATTAGGAATAAAGCCCCCTGCTGTCATAGAACACAGGCTAATATTAAAGATGACATCAGTAAGACAACTTCTCAGGACTATGCTATATGCCATCTCCTCCTCCATCTCTGGACAGTGATCTCTAATGGTGAGTCAGAAGGAGTGCCTCCGAGGGCCCTGCAGGCTGCCTGAGCAATATACAACTTCTTCCTCATTCAAGCGGAACAGTCAACTTAGACTTACAAGAAAAACTTTCAAAACCCCCTTTTCTGTTTAGGTTCAGAGTAGTCCACATCAGATGAAATAAGTCATTGGAACCATGTCTACTGGCTTCTCCTCGTCTCACTTCAGGTTCCTGTTTCTCAGACCACAAGTCCATTCCCAGGGTGGGACACTGTGGGTCCAGAAACCATTTGCAAACGTTCCTAGTGGAGCATCCCCAGCTCCGAACAGCAGAGAAGACCAGAACTTAGCACAGCTCTGATAACCAGTCTTGTCCTACCTATGGAAAATCCAGCTATTGCCAGTGGGTGTGTGGGGTGTCCTAAAACATGCCAGCCTTCGTATGTGATGTGGACAACTCGCCATCCACTTTCAGGTGTTTCCCCAGTGGTAGGGATGAGTTTACAGAGAACCAGCCACTCTTTCACACGATGCCCCTATCAGCCACGGCCCAGTTTCTAGCTGTAGACTCTGAGGACCAGAGACCTCTTCTACCCACAGCGCCATCCTTGGCCTTGTCTTGTGCACTGAACTGACTAGCCCTGAGGGTAAGTTAACATATGTCAGGCAGATCACAGAAGGAACTTTCCTGAGTGTAATACAATATGTCTAATTGCTTTTCAATTGTGAAATAATCATACATACAAAGAGCATGAAATGTGTATGTACAATTTAAAGAATTTTTGAAAAATTAACACCAATGTCTCCACAACTCAGGTTAAACATTACCAGTACCTTGGAAGCCCCTGAGTGCCCTTTCCCAATCTCATCCCCCTCTATCCCTCAACTCCCCTGGCAGAGACTTAATCCTTCTCCTGACTTTGGGGATTATCATTCCTTTGTTTTTCTTTATAGTTTTACCTCTTATGTATGCATTCCTAAGAATATATATCTTGTTTAGTTTTGCCTCCTTTTGGAATTCATACAAAGGGAATCCAATGGTATGTTTCTTTCTTTCTTTTTTTTTGAATCTCACTCTGTCGCCCAGGCTGGAATGCAGTGGCAAAATCTCAGCTCACTGCAATCTCTACCTCCCGGGTTCAAGCGATTCTCCTGCCTCAGCCTCCTGAGTAGCTGGGACTACAGGCACATGCCACCATACCTGACTAATTTTTTTTTTTTTGTATTTTTAGTAGAAACGGGGTTTCACCATGTTGGCCAGGCTGGTCTCGAGCTCCTGACCTCAGGTGATCCGCCTTCTTCGGCCTCCCAGAGTGCTAGAATTACAGGAGTGAGCCACCGCGCCCAGCCCCAACACGTAGTTTTTTTAAATCCCTTATCCCCCTCCCACCCTCCCACTATCCAGTCTTTTTTTTTTTTTTTTTTTTTTTTGTATTTTTAGTAGAGATGGGGTTTCACCATGTTGGCCAGGATGGTCTCAATCTCCTGACCTCGTGATCCGCCCGCCTCGGCCTCCCAAAGTGCTGGGATTACAGGCGTGAGCCACTGTGCCCGGCCTATCCAGTCTATTTTAAAGAATATCTGAATTGTTTGTAATTATTTGTCATTACAAACAACACTACTGTGAACATTCTTCAGGTGCACTTGGGCAAGAACACATGCTTTTTCGCACACTCCTTCCTACCTTGCAAGTCCTTGTGTTTTAGGAATACCTTTCCCATTAGAAATTAGAGGGAGCTTGCTCCCATCAGAGCATCCCAGTATGGAGCCAGAGTTAGCTTGCTAGTGACCCCTATGGCTATTTGGGACCCATGCCGAATGAGCAGAGACTTGGGACAATTTAGAAACTTGTCATATAGTGGCTGGGGACAAACAAAGAGACAGACAAAAGGGGCTTCCTGTGTGTAGCCCTTCCCGGAGACTCACTCACCCTGCACAGTGCCCCAAGGATACTGCCGCGCCCTCATCATCTTGTTGCCTATCTTCAGTTCTTCTGTGCTGCCAATGACAGCAAACGGCAGGTGGGCCTGAAACCGAAGGCAAACGAAAGCTGAGAACTGCAGAAGAAAGGCACTGAGTGTTACACAACCCAACTGCTGTTCGTCTCTGGGGCCCCAGGCCCTCACCCTGCAATGTCCCTCACTGTCATCATCACCAACAAGCATTTATTAAGTTCCCAAACCATGTGAGGATAAGAGGCCTAGTCCAAGCCTCTGCTGTTCAGAAATTCACAATAGAGGGTAACAATGACATGGCTGAATGCATAGGGAACAAAGAGAGAAAATAAGCAGAATAATAAGCAGACACACAGATTACCAAACTATTCGCTATTCATAGTTACTGCTGAGGGGAAGAGCCTTTGGAAGAAGGGGAAGTGGAATGAGGGGGGTTCTGTGTGGATAGAGAGGATAAAGGAGTACCAAAGGGTCTGGGATCACTGGCCCTTCTCCCTCCCTGGCATGCAAGAGCCCCAAGACTAGGTCCATACTGAGACCACACAGCCAACTGAGCTGTACTCTCCTTGTTCTCATCCTTCCCCGGAGAAAGAGCTCACATTGAACTTGTGAGCCTAGAAGGCAAGTCACCAAGGATTTACTCACATGACCATGCTGGGTTCTTCTGTAGGTGCTATAAGGCAGACAGAAGCAGCAGAAGACACGCTCCCTCGCCCTCTAGGAGCTTACAGTCTTGTTGAGGAAGCCCAAATTACATAACTCAAGTCATATAAGATAGTATGTGATCAAGGGCTCAAGTATATGGTCTGGTACCCTGTACATAGTAGGTGCTTAATAAATACTTCCTGAATGGCAGTGGTAGGGCTAGGGAAAGAGGAAAGAAAGGCAAAGGACAAATAGGTTTATGAGCTTGGTGCTCACAGGGAAAATGAGGAGCTTGGCCTGGCTTTATGGATGAGAGAAGAGAGAGCTGCCCCGACTTGGCAGTATGGGGCCTAGGAAACACTCACAGAGCCGTAATCCACAAGGAGCTAGCCAGCTTGTAAGTGCTAAGTCACCACAGCCAGATGGAACCACGGAATCAATGTTTACTGACCAGGTGAGCCCAGGTGGGGCTTTGCCCAAAAGGGCTTTACACCAACAGGTAAAGAGCCTATGGGGAAAGTTTCTTAGCCTGCCTGCAGAAACAGGCCATGATCTCAGATATTCTGACCCATTTGCCCACTCATCCATTCTACAAATATTTACTGAGCTCCTATGATATGTGCTAGGCATTAAGAATGACGTAATAGCAAAAAAGCACAGACCCTGGCCCCGGAGAGTGCACAGTGTGCCAAGGGAGAAAGCCATCTCAACAACGATCATACAGGAAGATCAGGGTTGTACCAGAAGTGGAGGTTGCAGTGAGCCGAGATCGCACCACTGCACCCCAGCCTGGGTGACAGAGCAAGACCCAGTCTCAAAAAAAAAAAAAAAAAAAAGAAAAATCAAGGTTGTAAACAGAGGCTAAAGGGCTGGAGTAACACAGAGGAGGGAGCAATTCTTGGGAAGTCAAATAAGTTGTTTCAGAGTAGGTAGTGGCAATCATACTAACAGCATTAGCATTAGCAATAATTTGTTAAGCCCTATGCACTGGGTACCAGCTGCTTTACATGGCATTGTCTCACTGAATCTCTACAACACTATATGGTAAGTTGCCTTATTAGTCTCCTCTTTAGATGGGGAAACTGAGGTCCAGAAGGGCTAAGAGACTTGTCAGCAGGCACACAATAGTAAGGAACAGAATAACTTCAAACCCCACCCCTTGCTGGTCTGCTACCTCCATTTAGGGGGTTCAAGCAGTAGATGAGGTGCGTACTCTAAACCTTGGGGGGAACTAGTTGTGCAAGACCAGATTATCAGAGGCAATTCAATTCAGGGAAACCCACAGCAAATCTGTCGCTTGTTTGTTTAATCCACAGGCTGATCTCACAGTCAATTCTTTTCTCCATTCTCCTCTAGCTCTGGACCCCAAAAATGTCCTTCAGAGCAGAAGAACACAGGATTTCATCAGGAGCTCAGCTCCAGGACCTCCACCAGTCCCTCAAATTGCTTGGCCGCCAGCTGAAGCTGCTCTTCTTTCACCCTCTCCACTCTCAGCTGCTATCAGACGATCGTCTCAGACACCCTCCGACCCCTCCCCACTCCACTGACTGTCCCTTAAATCTGGACATGGGAAAGAGGAGGTTATGGATTATGGAAGGTGGGTGTGGGGTGGAGGTGGGAAATGTTTCATCAGTCCTGGGAGGGGAATGACCAAAAGAGTAACTGGGCAAGTGACACACAGGGCATTTGGGAAGCACTGAATTCCTGAAAATGCTGCCCAAGGGCCTAAGCATGTCCAATCTTTGCCAGGAGAGTTGATCTGGGCACAATTCATCCCTACTCAGGGACCTAAGACATATCGGGAGCCTCGAATCCACCCCTAAACACTTTCTGGGAGGACATTTCCCCTGGAGAGACCCCACAGCTTCAGCCACATGACACAGAAGAGCCAAGGGGTGGCGAATGCAGAGAGCTAGACTGAGGGAGGAGGTGATAAAGAAAAACCACGTTGTAGCACTCCCTCCTCCTGGGCTCTCAGCTGTAAGTGATGGAGGAGGAAGGCATGTGAATTGGGAGGTGCTTCTCTGAGCTCGAGGAAAAAAAAAACCAAGAAGAAAACAAAGGCATACAAAAATGTCAGTATTCCCTCGGGCCTGTTGCATTTTTACCATCAAGAGACACCGTCAGAATGATAGGGTGACTTGCTTCCCCCTCTTTCTCAAACTGCTGTCATTTTATTCTTCTAGCTCAAAAACATAGCCCCAGCCCTCCCACAGCACGCTCCTTTGCAGCTGGCGTCAGTCTGCTTTGATAAGTATATGCAAGGTAGGCATTTCCCAGCGCTCTCCTTTGGTTTGATTTTCACAACATCCTTCTATGGCAATGATTAAAAGATCCATTCGTGAGCTGAGGGAACTGGGATACATGGAGGTTAAACGAGTTGCCTAGGTCCCTAACCCCCATGCCCAGATCCTCTGAAGCAGCAGCGAGGCCACCGAGCTTTGGCTGCCAACCTCTCCCAGCCACCTAGGGTGGTCCGCACTCTGCCTCCTGGCTACATGGCATCTGCTAGAAGGAAGCAAACCATGACAAGCAGGAAATCATGGGGACCAGGCTCTGGCCCTCTGTTCCACTGCTTTTGAGAGACAGATGGCTTTGACAACCAGAATAGAGTCGAGCAGAGCAGAGAGCAGATACCCACCCTCCCCCCGCACCACCACGGACCATACTTCTAGGTCCTACCAATGGGATCCAAATCTGAGGCCAGGCTTTCTGCTATTTTTCCCAGGTCTCTGCAGGAAACTGACAGACAGTGGTGACATTTTCTATGTGTGGACCCAGGGAAGAGACTCTGATAGATGCAGGGCAGTGTTGCTGCTGAAACACAAACAGGCCTCTCAGGAGAGTCTGTGTGACTCTCTCACTCAGACTTCCAATGAGGCGCCCTCGGATATCAGATTTCCCAGTGTCAGAAAACTCCAACAAGAGATAGTCGCAAGCCTTCCTTGGGAGTCCATTCCTAGATTCACCATCTGTCTTAGTGCATTTTGTCTTGCTACAGTAAACTACCTGAGACTGAGTAATTTATCAACAATAGAAATTTATTCAAAAAAAAAAAATTTATTCCTCATAGTTCTGGAGGCTGGGAGGTCCAAGATCAAGGCACCAGCATTCTGGTCTGGTGAGGACCTTCTTGCCGCATCCTCACACAGCAGAAGGACAAGCTAGCCCAACACTGCATGATGTCTCTTTAAAAAGGGTCTTCGGCCAGGTGTGGTGGCTCACGCCTGTAATCCCAGCACTTTGGGAGGCCAAGGCAGGTGGATCACGAGGTCAGGAGTTCAAGACCAGCCTGGCCAAGATGGTGAAACCTCATCTCTACTAAAAATACAAAAATTAGCCGGGCGTGGTGGCGGGCGCCTGTAATCCCAGCTACTCGGGAGGCTGAGGCAGAGAATTGCTTGAACCTGGGAGGCGGAGGTTGTGGTTAGCCGAGCCAAGATCGCACCACTGCACTGCAGCCTGGCCGACAGAGCGAGACTCCATCTCAAAAAAAAAGGGCCTTCATCCCATTAACAAGGGAGAAGCCCTCATGGCCCAATCACATTTTTTTTTTTTTTTTAAGATGAGAGTTTCGCTCTTGTTGCCCAGGCTGGAGTGCAATGGCACGATCTCGGCTCACTGCAACCTCCGCCTCCCGGGTTCAAGCGATTATCTTGCCTCAGCCTCCTGAGTAGCTGGGATTACAGGTGCCTGCCACCACGCCCAGCTAATGTTTGTATTTTTAGTAGAGACAGGATGTCGCCATGTTGGCCAGGCTGGTCTTGAACTCCTGACCTTGGGTGATCCACCCGCCTTGGTCTCTCAAAGTGCTGGGATTACAGGTGTGAGCCACCGCGCCTGGCCAGGCCCAATCAATTCCTAAAGGCCCTACCTTTTTTTTTTTTTTTTTTTTTGAGACGGAGTCTCACTCTGTCGCCAGGCTGGAGTGCAGTGACGTGATCTCAGCTCACTGCAACCTCCGCGTCCCGGGTTCAAGTGATCCTCCTGCCTCAGCCTCCCGAGTAGCTGAGACTACAGGTGTGTGGCACCATGCCCAGCTATTTTTTTTTTGAGATGGAGTTTTGCTCTTGGTGCCCAGGCTGGAGTGCAATGGCGTGATCTCAGCTCACCACAACCTCCGTCTCCTGGGTTCAAGCGATCCTCCTGCCTCAGCCTCCTGAGTAGCTGGGATTATAGGCATGTGCCACCATGCCCGGCTAATTTTGCATTTTTAGTAGAGACGGGGTTTCTCCATGTTGGTTAGGCTGGTCCCGAACTCCCGACCTCAGGTGATCCACCCGCCTCGGCCTCCCAAGTAGCTGGGATTACAGGTATGAGCCACTGCGCCTGGTAATTTTTTGTATTTTTAGTAGAGACGGGGTTTCACCATGTTGGCCAGGATGGTCTCGATCTCTTGACCTTGTGATTCGCCCACCTTGGCCTCCCAAAGTGCTGGGATTACACGTGTGAGCCACTGCACCCAGCCCCGACCTCTTAATACTATCATACTGGCCACACCTGAATTTTGGAGGGGACACAATCAAACCATAGCACCACCTTTACTGACTTGTGTCTAACTTAAATTCTTCTTGTACATTGTAAAGTACTTAATAATCCAATTGGCGTGAGTTACTTTATTCTTATTTCACCACATCCATTATACTTGGGAGGCTAGGTGACTGCTTAGCCCAGTGAAATACACACTGTCAGAACTCTTTATTCCTCATCTAATGATAATATTCTGATTGGGCTTGGTTTCCTCCCAGGGTGGACAGTGTTTCCCAGTTATGTTAGTCCCCATTTCAGGCCCCTGCTGGTGACTGAACAAGACCATTGGCTGATTTGCTCTCAAGTCAACCACTGGTGATTCCTGTAAAAGTACATGGCAACAATGGAAATACCATTGCTGTCTCAGAGGAAGGGATGGACTTGTGCCTGTGGGTCTTCCTATGACCCTACTGTTCAGCCATGTGTTCTCACTGGGCCCAAATGTCAATTGCCTTTGTGGGAACCAAACCCCAGACCTCACAAATGGACAATTAATGGAGCTCAGTCAATTAAGTAACTGGGCCTTTTTGCTGGTCCTGGCCATGCTTTCAGCCATTCAAAGAACATCATTAAATTTAAAATAACATAGCAATTCTTAGTATTAAAGTCTACAACCTTGAGAGATATCAGAGCATGGGTTGAAAATAGCATGCAACAAGACCTCGCTCTCCCTTCTCTTCCCCCTCAATCTACAATAAGGTTTTCTGGAGCCACCCATAATTCAAGGTGGTGGCAGGGACCTCATTACTCTCATTTCCTGCCACAAAAATCCCCCATGGTGAGAGACAGGACATTGTACAGTCTTCTCCACTCAGGCAACAGATTTCTTCCGCTTCTTCCAATCCAGCTCCTATGACAATTGGCTGGGGTGGCTGAGGCTGTGGGGCTGGAGTCAAATCCAAAATGAAAGACCAGCACCAATTCCTCCTACCACCCAAGCCCAGGTCCTGAGGATGCAGCTTCATACACCACGGCTTGTGTGAAGACTCTGGGGACTTTTGACATAGTTGTTCGGTGGCAGGCAGGCTAAGCAATCCTCTGTGTATATTTGATAGCACCCTCTTTCCCATCACAGCGCATGTAACACAAAACACTCACATGCAAGCTCCTCTCACAGGCATGCCAATTCAGGCACACTAGCTGTGAGGCCACTCCTCTCTTTCCCACTCAAAAAAAACCCATAGTGGATTAGCCGGGCATGGTGGTGCATGCCTGTGGTCCCAGCTACTCGGGAGGCTGAGGCAGGAGGATTAGTTGAACCCAGGAGGTGGAGGCTACAGTGAGCTGAAATTGATTGCATCACTGTACTCCAGCCTGGGCGACAGAGTGAGAGCCTGTCTCAAAAAAAAAACAAAGCACAGTAGGATGCAAGGGAGTAAGTGGTGAGTGATTTATGATAGGGATAATCCTGAATCCACTGGAATTCCCTGCTCCTCTCCTCTCCTCCCCTCCCCTCCCTTCCTCCATTCCTTCCTTCCTTCCTTCCACTGGAATTCCCTCCCTCCCTCCTCCCTTCCTTCCTTCCTTTTTATTTCTTTCTCTCTTTCTCTCTTTATTTACTTTCTTTTTCTTTCCTTTCCTTTCTCTCTCTCTTTTTTTTTTTTTGTGAGACAGGGTGTTGCTCTGTCACCCAGCCTGCAGTAGTGCAGTGGCTCGATCAGGGTTCACCGCAGCCTCAACTTCCCAGGCTCAAGTAATCTTCCCACTTTAGGCCACCCACCGACCAAGTAGCTGAGACTACAGGTGTGCGCCACAGCACCAGTTAATTTTTTCTTTTTTGAGATGGAGTTTTGCTCTGGTTGCCCAGGCTGGAGTGCAAAGGCGAGATCTCAGCTCACTGCAACCTCTGCCTCCTGGGTTCAAGCGATTCTCCTGCCTCAGCCTCCTGAGTAGCTGGGATTACAGGCATGCGCCACCATGCCTGGCTAATTTTGTCTTTTTACTAGAGACGGGGTTTCTCCATGTTGGTCAGGCTGGTCTCGAACTCTTGATCTGAGGTGATCCACCTGCCTTGGCCCCCGAAAGTGTTGGAATTACAGGCGTTAGCCACCGCGCCCGGCCACTAGTTAATTTTTTTTAAATTTCAGTAGAGATGAGGTCTCACTATGTTGTTCAGCCTCGAATTTTGTTTCTCAAAGTGAAACACAATTATGAGTAATAAAGGACCCAGAATCCCTTCACAGCCATAACAGCATGCTTGACAACTGCTGCTGCCTAGCTTGGGGGTTTCCAGCCTTGAGGTTGAGCCTACCCTAGGCTTAGCAGGAGGCCAGAGCTGAGCTGAGAACAGAGCCCAGGATGATTATCACTCCTAATCCATGAGGTACCAAGATGTGGTTCTGTGTGACACCTTGAGATGGCTGAGTACTCTCAGTCCCTATTTATTCTTAGCAAAGCAAACCACAAGCCTGCAAGCTGCTTGATGACTTAGGGCATCAGTGTTCAGAAGGTCTCTATGGGGACTGATGTCCTGAGGTGACTAGACGCTTCCAGACATCAGTGCCCGTGGCACCCAGATGACACTTCTCGCGAGGCTCCCGTTTTTCTGCAGACTAGGCTGTCTCTTCATAACAGAGCCTAGTTTCCATCAAAATGCCCTGACTTCTCGAGAGGACAAGTGCTAATCTTTTTTATTTTTTCCATGCCCACGGCCGGTCAGAGAAGACCTATCTCTACCTACCATGCTCCAGATAGCCTTACCCTTGAGCCAGATTTGTCTAAGATGGTGATGGTGATAACAAACACATCTCGGGTGTACTGATGGACAGGAAGTCAGGAGAGACAATGACTTGCTGCCCTGCTATGCTAATTTGTTGGCCAATTCATAGGAGGTGGCAGCTGAAGTTGTAATGATAACTTAGAGGGCAGTGGCAGCAGGAAAGTTTTCTAAAAATGGCTTTTATTACAAGGCTTTCCTGAGTTTGGCTATACCCAGGCATTATGTCATTAGGAAAAACTGATGACACTCAATAGAGAAAAAGAAATCTGTTCCTAAAGCGGAGGCTTTCTGAAAGCTATTAGCTGTCTCCTTGAAATCACAACATTGAAGATTTCACAGCAACAGCAACACATTGTAAGGAAGCATTAGGAGATGTTTGCATCTCTGCCTTCTTTATTACTCATTTCTCTAGTAGGAGAAAGTGGGGGAGGAGAGGAAAGATGGCAAGGTTTTTTATTATTATTATTCATTCACACTTAATAAAGCAAAGCATAACGCTGATTTTTTTTTTTT
This sequence comes from Homo sapiens, assembly GCF_000001405.40. Classification (NCBI taxonomy): domain Eukaryota; kingdom Metazoa; phylum Chordata; class Mammalia; order Primates; family Hominidae; genus Homo; species Homo sapiens. Next base: position 100,126 of record NW_025791817.1, read on the forward strand.
TTTTTTTTTTTTTGAGATGGAGTCTCACTCTGTCGCCCAGGCTGGAGTGCAATGGCGTAATCTTGGCTCACTGCAACCTCTGCCTTAGCCTCCAGAGTAGCTGGGATTATAGGCGCACACCACCACGCCTGGCTAATTTTTGTATTTTTTAGTAGAGACGGGGTTTTGCCATGTTGGCCAGGTTGGTCTCAAACTCCCGACCTCAGGTGATCTACCCGCCTCGGCCTCCAAAAGTGCTAGGATTACAGGCGTGAGACACCATGCCCAGCCAACCCTGATATTTAAAAATAACATATCTCGGTTGCAGTGAGCCGAGATTGTGCCACTGTACTCTAGCCTGGGCAATGGAATGAGATCCTGTCTTAAAAAAAAAAAAAAAAAGTAAAAGAAAAAAAGAGTTGACTACACTAAGATGGATGGTGAAGATGTTTTGCTGCTATTTGGTAAAATAATAATAATAATAAAGGGGTCAGCGTGGTGGCTCACACTTGTAATCCCAGTACTTTGGGAGGCTGAGGCAGGAGGATCGCTTGAGCCCAGGGGTTCAAGACCAGCCTGAGCAACATAGCAAGACCCCGTCTCTACAAAACATTAAAACATTAGCCAGGTGTGGTGAGTGCACCTGTAATCCCAGCTACTTGGGAGGCTAAGGCGGGAGGATCCCTTGAGCCCAGGAGTTCAAGGCTGCAGTGAGTTGTGATCACACCACTGCACTCCAGCCTGGGCAACAGAGCAAGACCCTGTCTCTAAAGCACATTAAAATAATGATAATCATCATAAAAAGCAAATGGTCAGGAAATTGCTCCCACTCACGTTCATGGTTCCATTGATCTCTGCCACCGACTCATCATCTGTAGGAAACTGATAGATCTGGACTCCGTTGCTGACAAGCTCGCTGGTGATTTTGATTTTGAACTTTGTTAGCTCACTCTTCGAAATGGCATCTGCTTTGGCAATGATGGGGATGATGTTCACCTAGGGAGAGGAGGGGCAAAGTGGGGTCATTGTTGGTAACCTGCAACTGATAGCAGCATGACCTAGGACTTCCACCAGCTGCCAGAGGGAGCCGCTCAGCCCAGTGGTCAAAGACTGGCCACTTCTGTAGCCAAATGACAATATAATAAACGACAAGTACTAACTATGTGCTGGGCACTGAACTAAGTGCTTTACATGAATTAGCACAATTAATCCTGACAATAACCCTTCCAGGAGGTATTATTACTACTATTTTGCCAATGAGAAATTAAGGCATAGGGAGGTTAAGTAACTTGTCCAAGGCCATGGAGCAGGTAAGTAGGAGAACTGGGATTCAAATCCAAACTCAGCCTTATTCCTAAGTCCATAGTCTTAAGCATGAGCTGTCTACCAGTTCAGATCCAAGTTGATGAGCTGTATGTTATCTTGGTATCAAGGTTACTGCTTGGGAGACTTGAAGCAGAAAGGTGATAGCTGGGAATCTGTGGCTGACAGGGGAGAGGTGGCCTCTTCTTGCTAAGAGTAAATTGTCCCAACCCATCGGGTCTAGTCTAGCCCAAGCCGGGTGTGATATGGACCCACATGAGAGATGGCAGGGAAAGGAGGCAGGGACAGTGCTCAGTGAGGATGCACACCTGGCTCTCTTTCTGGCAGGAGACACTGAATAATCAACTCAGTTAGGTGAGGAAGAACCTATAGTTACAATTTGATCTGAGACTTATGCAAAAAGAATTATACTGCCTGAGTCTCATGATTAATTTCTGAGTAAGAAAAGCAAGTATAAATGCCCAATTTCAGGCATCAGGAGAAAGAACTAATCCCAACCAAAAGTTCAATCCACCTGAACCCTAATCCTTGAAATTCCTCCAAGAAGGGACAAGGCTTTTACTGTCAGAAGGTAAAGAAACTTGAAATGCACATGTGTTTGTGAGACAGAGCACACTAAGTTCAGGTTGACATGGAGAGCATAATCATTCCTGCCAGTAGACTCCAACGGGGGGTGGGGGAGGGGCATAGGTGGCACTCAGGCCCCGGACTCTAAAAGGGGAGTCTGGGAGCTCCAGACGTGGAAGAAAAATCCTGCTTCCTCTGCGCTTTGGCTTAGGAGTGCCTCTGAAGGCTGATATCACACAGCCGCTGGGTCAAGGAAAGACTGAACCGTGGAGGCACCTCCCTTGAAGTCTTTCAGGGGCAGAAGGGTCAAAGCCCTTGCCAAGATGAAACAGCAGGCAGAGCCTATTCTCCTTGGCACTTTCGCCAAGTCCCCATTGACACACTATAAACATATATCAGGCCAGGGGCAGTGGCTCATGCTGCTAATCCAAGCACTTTGGGAGGCCAAGGTGGGCAGATCACCTGAGGTTGCGAGTTCGAGACCAGCTTGGCCAACATGGTGAAACCCCGTCTCTACTAAAAATAAAAAGTATCCAGGCATGGTAGTGCATGCCTATAATCCCAGCTACTCGGGAGGCTGAGGCAGGAGAATTGCTTGAACCCAGGAGGCGGAGGTTGCGGTGAGCCAAGATCGTGCCATTGCACTCCAGTCTGGGCAACAAGAGTGAAAGTCCGTCTCAAAAATAAATAAATAAATAAATATATATGTATCTATCTATCTCAAAGGCTTAACTCGGCCCATCCACCAGGCCTGCAGCCATGTGGCTCACCAATGCCCCTATACAGGACATGCAGGGCATGGCCACATTTCAAGAGCAGCCTTTTATTCATGGGCCATGAGCCTATTGCTGCAAAAAATGAAAAACTGCTCCTATTCTGATGAGAGCTGAAATTCAGTCTTAGAGTGGATGTGCTACTAAATGGCTGCATGTGAATTCGATTATTTTTTTGATACGGAGTCTGGCTGTGTCGCCCAGGCTGGAGTGCAGTGGAATGATTCCAGCTCACTGCAACCTCCGCTTCCAGGTTCAAGCGATTCTCCTGCTTGAGCCTCCCCAATAGCTGGGATTATAAATGCGCACCACCATGCCCAGTTAATTTTTGTATTTTTAGTAGAGACGGGATTTCGCCATGTTGGCCAGGCTGGTCTCGAACTCCTGACCTCAGATGACCCGCCTATCTTGGCCTCCCAAAGTGCTGGGATTACAGGTGTGAGCCACCGCACCCAGCCAAGTTTTTCTTAAAGGAAGACAACGCCTGATTCCCACAGCCATCTTTCTCGGGCATGGAAGCATTATAACATGGGGTCACAGATCTGAGTGTCACAGAATCTGCACTCTACCAGTAGCTAGCAATATGACAATGAGCAAGTCACTTAACCTCTGAGAGCCTCAGTTTTCTCTTCTGTAAAATGAAGATAACAATAATGTGTACTTCACGGGGCTGGCATATAATGAGGGTTTTAATGTTAACTGCAATCATAAAAGTAATTATTGATAGCAAGAATAACTTTCAAAGTCAAGTTTGCATGTTTGATTCTAGCCAGTTAACATTCGGACAAAGAAAAAAACAGCTTTCCATTGCCAAAGCCTTTGCCCCTAGACCCAGGGAGCCATCTTGCTAGTCCCCAAGAGGGATCAGGGCAGAAAGACAGCTCAGGGCAAGCCCATCCCTAGTGCTGGGAAAACAGATCACAAAGCTTACGACGCTGGTGCTGGATCCGTAACACCATCTTTATGGAGGGACAGGGAATGAGGGAGAGGATGAGGATGCCACAAATCTCTCCCGGAATCCCACATCTACTTTGCACAAGAGATCAGTAAGAGTGAGCCCCCAGCGCCCCCGCCCCTGCCTCCTATACCTTACTGTCCAGCTTCTTCATAGTCACTAGGTCCAGAGACTTCAGGGAATGACCCGTGGGGGCAATGAAATACAAGCAGACATGGATTCGGGAGTCATGGTAGGTGTGTAGCACTCTTCGGATCTTTAGCTCTTCCTGCAGGTAGGCCTCGAATTGTGCATCGATGAATTCCACGATAGGCTTGTAGCTAAAAGGGAGAGCAGGGACAGAGGCGGATCCCGTCAAAAACTTGGATTTTGACACCGTCCTTTTTGGAAGTTTCAAATGCCCTCTGTAATCTTGACTCTCTCCCATCCAACTGCATTTCTCCATCTCCCTTCAGTGGGCCTCCAATCTTGTCAGCCTGGCCACCTTCTTGGTCCCTACATGAGCCAAACTTATGCCCATCTGTGCACCTTCACTAGAATGCCCCTTTCTCTCTCCTCATCCCAATTCTGCCCTCCCAGACCTCAGGGCTCAGCTTAATGTCCTCCTCCTTCCTACGGCCTTCCCCACTTATGCCAGAAATCCCTTCTGCGAGTCAGGGGCATAACAAGAAATGGCATTCAATTACTTATTGTTGCTTCACAAGGATTCTCTCAAATAGATTGTGCCTTCCTAAAGAGCAGGGCCTGTGAAGGGCACTTGTCTGTCCCTCGGGGGGCCCCAACACAGCATGGAGCCCACTGGCTGTATCTGTAGAGGGACTGATTTTCCTCCAAGCTGGGCTCATGTCTTTGCTCCCTTTATCTCGCCCTACAGTGCCTAGATGAGAGCTGGGTACACAGTGGGTAACAAGACCTCTCTTTGGCCCACTGCTGGGCAATCTTGTGAGAACATTCAGGGCTTTTGCTCATTCTCGCTAGGTTTAGCGGAGCTCCACACTTGGCTCCCCCAAGGTCAAGATATTTTTCTGATTCTCATTTCTGCCAAGGTGGTGACTTTAAGTATTCAGGCCAGGCACAGTGGATCATGGCTCGTAATCCCAGCACTTTGGGAGGCTGAGACGGGCGGATCTTCTGAGCTCAGGATTCGAGACCAGCCTGGGCAACACGGCAAAACTTCGTCTCTACTAAAAATACAAAAATTAGCCAGCTGTGGTAGCTCATGCCTGTAATCCCAGCTACTCAGGAGGCTGAGGCAGGAGAATCGCTTGAACCCGGAAGGCAGAGGTTGCAGTGAGTGGAGATCATGCCACTGCACTCCAGCCTGGGCAACAGAGTGAGACCCCATCTCCAAAAACAAACAAACAAACAAACAAAGTATTCAGGCAAAATCTGGTAAAGCTACTCCCCTCCGCACACCCTGCACACATGGACACAGGCCCGCCAGCTCACTGAGTCTCCACACGCGGCTCCTCTAGGTGGCCCCCAAGTCTTGCCAAGGCTTCTTAAACAACAGTCAGCCCTCTATGTCTCTCTTTCCTGGGCCTCCCTGGGAAACTTCCCTCTCCCTCTGTCCCAGTCCCCTCCCACGTCATCCCCGTCACCCCTACGGCCTCTTTCTGCTCTAACTAGGTCAGCTTAGCTCAGCTCTGCCTCTTGTTCTCATCTCCCCTGTCTGTCTGCTGCCTCTCTGGCTGAGGGGGTGCCTCCCTTCAGGCTAGAAGAGGCTTGTCATGTGGGCCCAGGGCAGGGAGTTTTCAGATACCGCTGCCAGAAGGGAACATGATGATCAAAGGAGGAGCTGAGCCCAGCCAATGCCTCCCACCTGCAGCAGCTCCCAGGCTGAGCCTTTCTGAAAGATCCCCCTAGTAGAGAAGGGGAAAATAGCCTTTTAAGAAAGAATCACAGGATCCTAGATTCTGAGAGCTGCAGCCAGAGCTGAGATCCAGGTGCAGGCTATCTCTGGAGCCCCAGAGAAAAATCTTTTTTTTTAAGATGGAGTTTCGCTCTGTTGCCCGGGCAGGAGTGCAGTGGTGCGATCTCCACTCACTGCAACCTCTGCCTCCCAAGCCCCAGAGAAAACTCTAAAAACATAGTCCTTTCTTTATTCCTTTGATCCCTCCGAGCCACTGTTCCGAAGGGTAATCGCATCAAAGAATCTCTTGGTTGCAAAGATCCTTAGAAGGTTCCTGACGAATTTGGAGTGAGGGTGGGGAATGTATCCCCTAGGCTTATTTAATTAATTTTTGGATGTTTTGCTGATTTGAAATAGTTGATGATGGCACTGCTTCATTTTTTTTCTCAATTACGTAATTTTTTTTTACTTCATTTTTTGCTTTGCAGAAGGAATCAGAGGAAAGAAAATAAAGCTAAAAAGTGCATTTTTTAGCTCCCCCACACACCCCGAAATCTGTAGTGATACCCTGTGCCTGTCTTACTGCAATTGCCTCTGGCTCTCGGAAGCTCTCAAGATGTACATGGATCAGACCAGCCAAACCAGCCAATCAGCCACCAGGATTTGGTGTAGACGAATCCTAAATGGGTGGCTTATCTTCGTCTTATTCATCTCTGTATCCTCCACGTCTAGCCTGCTGTCTGGAACATAGTAAAGTTTCCGCTACTGCTCTGCATTCCCTCCACCCCCAGGCCCCAGTGACTCATCTTCCCACGGTGGCCACCTCTCTCCCACACTCTGTTGTGCTGCTCACTGGACTCCAGTGGGTGGTAAACAAAATCCTTTACTCTTATAGGCTACCTCCTCCCAAACTGCTTCCTTCCTCTAAGTGACACCTGACTATCCTTCAGAGATGCTGCTTTTCTCATATCCTTCTCAACTGGAAATTTCTTCATCTCCACACCCAAGTCCCATGGAAGGGCAGAGAGGGCAGCTTTCTTCTAGCTCTTGATTCCCTCGCTCACTGTGATCTCCTCATCTCCTCCATTTTCGACCAAAACCAGCTCCAACAGACTCCATCCCTCCCCATCACTACTGATAATCTTTGACATTTCAAGACAGCCGTTCTTAACACAGGGTTCATGGACCTCCTAGGTTCTGTGAATAGAATTCAGAGGATCTGTGAACTTAGATAGGAAAAAAATACATCTTTTTCACTAATCTCTAACTGAAGTTTAGCAGTTTCTTCAGCTGCAGACATAGGTAACAATCTATAGTAATGTTAGCAGTACCTGTGATTTCATAACCAATAGAAATCACTGATATCATCATTTCCCATTCCAGTTGTTGTAAATAGCTCAAAATAGCATTTATACTCATTACAACATTCAAATTCTGGTAATTATTAAGCCTGCATATAGATATTATTACTTCTGGAATTGATAGAGAAGCACATGGATTGCTAAGTCACAATTTTTAAATATTTTAGTAACTGTATTTTTAGTATACTTGGTATATTTTAGGCATTTAAAAACATTATTTTGAGAATGAGCCCATAGGCCTCACTAGATTGCTAACGGGGCCAATGGCACAAAATAACCCCTGGTCTAGACAATAATACTTATTCATTTCGGATAATGATATGTACTATGAAGATACTCCAATAGGATAATGGGATATACATGTGATTGAGGGTTCAACTACTTTAAATACAGTGATCAGGGAAGGCTTCTCTAAGGGTGTGACATTTGAGCCGCAAGGATGAGGATGACAGAGCCATGGAGAGATCTGGGTGAAGAGCATTCCAGGCAGTGGGAATAATAAATGTGAGGATGGTTCTGAGGCAGAAACCAGTCTGACAGGTTTGAGCAATGGGAAGACGGCCAGGGAGGTGGGACTTGGTGAACCCAGCTTGAGTAAATTATTCACAGTAGCCCAAAGGTGGAAACAACCCAAATGTCCATCAACTGATGACCGGATAAAGAAAATGTGGAGGCCAGGCGCAGTGGCTCACGCCTGTAATCCCAGCACTTTGGGAGACCAAGGTGGGCGGATCACGAGGTCAGGAGTTCGAGACCAGCCTGATCAACAGGGTGAAACCCCGTCTCTACTAAAAATATAATAATTAGCTGGGCATGGTGGCGTGCGCCTGTAATCCCAGCTACTCAGAAGGCTGAGGCAGGAGAATTGCTTGAACCGAGGAGGCGGAGGTTGCGGTGAGCCAAGATTGAGGCACTGCACTCCAGCCTGGGCGACAGAGTGAGACTCCGTCTCAAAAAATAATTAAATAAATAAAATAAAATAAAGAAAATGTGAAAATGTGGAGGCCAGGTGGGGTGGCTCACACCCATAATCTCAGCACTTTGGGAGGCCGAGGCAGGCGGATTACCTGAGGTCAGGAGTTCGAGACCAGCCCTGCCAACACAGTGAAACCCCGTCTCTACTAAAAATACAAAAATTAGCCAGGCATGGTGGTAGGCACCTGTAGTCCCAGCTACTCGGGAGGCTGAGGCAGGAGAATTGCTTGAACCTGGGAGGCGGAGGTTGCAGTGAGCCGAGATCGCACCACTGCACTCCAGCCTGGGCAACGGAGTGAGATTCCGTCTCAAAAAAAAAAAAAACAAAACAAAAAAACTGTGCCTTATTTCTTAGTATCTCTGACACTTCACACTGTACTTGTCACATAGTAGACATTTAAGTTTATAAAGTGGACTAGGTTTCCACGGCAACTTGGTTCTCAGTCTTGTCAATTCTCTCAAATCTGCCCCTCCTCTCTATCCTCAAAGCTTCTCTTCCTGTTCAAGCCCTCATCATCTCTCCCATCCTCAAGAGTTGCCCCTGACCTCCTTGTCCCCCTCTAGACATGGCCTTGTGTATTTCTCCCAGCTCAGACAAGCTTTCTTTTTTATCTATTTTTTAGAGACGAGGCCTCGCTCTATTGCCCATGCTGGAGAACAATGGCATGATCATAGCTCACTGTGACCTCGAACTCATGAGCTCAAGCGATTCTCCTGCCTCAGCCTTCTGAGTATCTGGGACTACAGGCACACACCACCACACCTGGCTAATTTTTTATTTTTGTGTAGAGACGGGGTCTCTTTATGTTATCCAGGCTGGTCCTGAACTTTTGGGCTCAAGTGATCCTTCTACCTTGGCCCCACAAAGTGTTGGGATTAGAGGTAAGAGCCACCGCGCTTAACCTAAATTTATTTATGCAAGAACACCTATTCTCGACCGGGTGCGGTGGCTCACGCCTGTAATCCCAGCACTTTGGGAGGCCGAGGCAGGCGGATCATGAGGTCAGGAAATCAAGACCATCCTGGCTAACACGGTGAAACCCCGTCTCTACTAAAAATACAAAAAAAATTAGCCGGGCGTGGTGGTGGGCGCCTGTAGTCCCAGCTACTCGGGCGGCTGAGGCAGGAGAATGGCGTGAACCCGGGAGGCGGAGCTTGCAGTAAGCCGAGATAGCGCCACTGCACTCCCGTCTGGGCAACAGTGCGAAAGTCCGTCTCAAAAAAATAAAAAAGAATACCGATTCTTCCTTCCTCACAGATAACCTCTATTTTCAGTTTGCTGATTATCTTTCCAGACCTTTTTCTATGCATCTACGCACATAAATAGAGAGAAATATTTGTGGTTTTATTGGAGGGAGGGGGGCAGATTTACAGACACCGCATCGTGATCATTCTGCAACTTCTTTTTTTCACTTAACAACATATCCTGAGATCTAGCCATGTGAGTATATATCGATCTACCTCATTCTATTAAACTGCCAAACACAATTCCATGGTATGGTAATTCCACAGTTTATTTAATTGCTCTGTTGGTAGAAATTTAGACTGTTTAAATTGTTTTTCATTCAATAACCAAAGCTACAGTGAACATGCTTTCTCTATGCTTCTCAGGAGCATGTGCAACTGTTTCTCTAGGCTGTATACTTAAAAGGTGGAACTGCTGGGTCATAAATTATTCACATTTAAAATTTTAATAGATACTGCCAAATTTGCCCTCCAAGAAGTCTATATCAATTTACAGTCCCATCAACGTGAATGAAATTACCTCGTGTTAGTGGATATTATACCATCCTTTTGTTTTTGCAGATCTGATGGATAAAAAATATTTGTTTCATTTTGCATTTCTTTAATTACTGGGGAAGTTGAATGACCATCATTTCATATGTTGATTGTACATAAGTATTTCCCCTTCTGTAAATTATTTGTTTATTTCTCATTGAATTGTAGAAGCTCTTTTTCCATTTTAGAAGAATCCTTTGTCTGTTATTTAGGCAGCAAATATCTTCTCCCCATCTGTAGCTTGTTTGTACTTTTGTTTATGGTATCTTTCAATACAAAAGGGTTTTTTATTTTAATGAATTTAAATCCATCAGTCTTTTCTTCTATGACTTTTGAATTTTGTGTCATGATTGGAAAAGCCTTCTCTACCCCCAAAGTTATAAAAATATTCTCTGATGTTTTCTCCTTATATTTTTAGAAATCTGTTTTTAGTCCAATGGGAATCTATTTTTGTGAATGGTGTTTGTGTGAGAGGGTCTCGTTTTATTTTTTTCCTAAATAGATGGCCTATTTTCCCAGCATCATCTCCTGAATAGTCCATTCTTCCCCTGCTGACTTACATATGCTAAATTTCCATATGAGCAGGAATCTGGTCTTAGACTGACTTTTCTGTTCCATTGCTCTTTTTGCTCTTCTGATGCCTTTACATGCTTACTTTCCATTCACTCAGCAATCACGGTAATCTGGCTTCCACCCACAGTTCCCCTCGAATTATTATTCTGAAATGTATTACTGACCTTCATATCACCAAACCCAAAGAATATTTTGCAGTTCTCGTCTTCCTGGATACCATGTATCATTCCTTCCCATATACTACATGATTTAGCTGTTCCTTGATTCTTCTATCAATAAAAATCATGATCATAATATCTTCAGTTTATGAGGCAGTTACTCTGTGCCAGGTGTTTAAGCATTTCATATTCCACACATGTCAAATGTGCTTCACCACAACTCTCTAAGGTAGGTAGTATTATTATTATCATCCATCATTATCATCCCCATTTTACAGATGAGAAAACTGAGGCATAGAAAATTTAAGTACCTTGTTCAAGATCCCTGGGCTAAAAAGACAGCAAGATGAAATTTGAACCCAGGTCTGAGACCAAAGCCTAGGTTCCTAAGCACTCCCCTCTCCAGCTTGTCCTTCTCAGTCTCTCCCTTAAATCCCCTTTTCTCCAGCATCCTTTTTTATTTTTATTTTTTGAGATGGAGTCTCACTCTGTTGTCTAGGCTGGAGTGCCATGGCGCGATCTCAGCTCACTGCAACCGCCACCTTCCGGGTTCAAGCAATTCTTGTGCCTCAGCCTCCCGAGTAGCTGGGATTACAGGCACATACCACCATGCCCAGCTAATTTTTTGTATTTTTAGTAGAGACGGGGGTTTCACCATGTTGGCCAGGCTGGTCTTGAACTCCTGGCCTCAAGTGATCCACCCACCTTGGCCTTCCAAAGTGCTGGAATTACAGGCTTCAGCCACTGTGCCCTGCCTCCAGCATCCTTTAAATGGTAGCTTTCCGCAGTATCCGGCCTTAGTCATTCCTCTTCCTAGTTTATGCATGAGCCCTTGTAAAGCGGGATATTCTAATGCCTTGTTTCAATGATGCTTCACTGACATATCTATGCTAACATGGCCCTAACAGCATGAAGAAAACACTGCTTTTTATTACAGATCCCTGGAGCTTACTCCACCCCTGCTCCTCAGTGCAATTTCAAGGAGGCTTTTCATTTCTACTTATTTGATTTATTATAAGTATGTATCACATTTATAATCGGGAAGAAACAATAGGGATATCTTAAAACTATAACGGAAGTAGATTTGCCTCTGAGGCGCAGTATCTGTTCAGTCCTCCCAAGCCATTATTATCAAGGCATTGTCCAATGTTAGATATGTTGAATGTATGTAACTGAAAGAACTGTAAGAAATGTAATTGAAGTTTCTGAGCAATCTGCAGCTGAGATTAAGCACTCATATTGTGGCCCAAATATCCTTTCTCCAAAGTTTAATTTATTCTCAACCAAACAAGATTAGCACAATAAGCATGCCTATAAAAAGCAGAGGTGGCCAGGCACAGTGGCTCATGCCTGTAATCCCAGCAATTTAGGAAGCCAAGGCGGGGGTGAGCGGGGGGGATCACTTGAGGTCAGGAGTTCGAGACCAGCCTGGTCAACATGGTGAAACCCCATCTCTACTAAAAATACAGAAAAATTAGCAGGGTGTGGTGGTGCGTGACTAATTCCACCTACTCTCGGGAGGCTGAGGCAGGAGAATCACTTGAACCCAGGAGGCGGAGGTTGTAGTGAGCTGAGATTGTGCCACTGCACTTCAGCCTGGGTGACAGAGTGTGACTCCATCTCAAAAAAAAAAAAAAAAAAAAAAAAAAAGCAGAGATGTCTTTTTTCTAGAATTTCAAATGCAAAACAGAACTCAGTTCCATTATTAAGAAGCTATATATATTTGGCTGGGCACGGTGGCTCACACCTGTAATCCTAGCACTTTGGGAGGTCAAGGAGGGTGGATTATGAGGTCAGGAGATTGAGACCAACATGGCTAACACAGTGAAACCCCATCTCTACTAAAAATACAAAAAAAAAAAATTAGCTGGGTGTGGTGGCACGAGCCTGTAGTCCCAGCTACTCGGGAGGCTGAGGCAGGAGAATGGCGTGAACCCAGGAGGCGGAGCTTGCAGTGAGCTGAGATCACACCACTGCGCTCCAGCCTGGGCAACAGAGCGAGACTCCGTCTCAAAAAAAATAAAATAAAATAAAAAGAAGCTACATATATTTATTCATTATAAGGAAGTGAGTGTGGCTGTTGTAGCTTTAAGGGGGAAATAAAAGAATTTGACATAAAGTTCACCTAAGAAGCAAGAGAATCCTGAAAGAATGAGAAGACCCTCTGCTTAAAATGATGAATGGCCCTTTCTGAAATGAGCACATGTGATAACCATGTGACTTCTGGTTAAATGCAGATGGTACCTGACCCCACCCCTCATCACATTCCCATCTCTGAGCCTCACCTAGTCTTCACTCACACACATTCTCAACCCCCTACATCTTTCTGTTTTGTTTTGAGACAGAGTCTTGCTCTGCCGCCCAGGCTGGAGTACAGTGGCGCAATCTCAGCTCACTGCAACCCTGCCTCCCGGATTCAAGTGATTCTCCCGCCTCAGCCACCTGACTAGCTGGAATTACAGGCACCCGCCATCACACCCGCCTAATTTTTGTATTTTTAGTAGAGACGGGGTTTCATGATGTTGGCCAGGCTGGTCTTGAATTCCTGACTTCAAGTGATCTGCCCGCCTCGGCCTCCCAAAGTGCTGGGATTACAGGCGTGAGCCACCTTGCCTGGCCCCCCAACATCTTTCCTGTCCCCCCTCCTACCTGTCAGCTTATTCCTGTTCAGTCCCTTTTCAGGATGTCTTTTCCTCCATCTATTGACTTAGCATCCTGAGGTTTTTGTCTTTAGCCCAGTGTTCTTCTTACTCTACTCTGATCCCTGGGTGATTTTACATGTGTCCATGGTTGGAACATATCACCTCTACCTTGATAACCCAATCTATTTCTAGCCTCTTCTCATCTCCAATTCTGTGTGTTCAACTGCCTACTGCTGAAGGTCATCGCGTATCTCAGTATTCCTCAGACAGATCAAACTTGACATGTCCAAAACAGAGCTGATTATTTTGAACCCTGGTTCTCTTACGGAATGCCATCACCATGTGTCCACTCTCCAAAGCTGGAAATTTGGGCCTCATTCTAGATTTTTCTTTTGCCTTCACAACCCCACACCAAGTGCCTACCAAGTCCTGTTGATATTTACCTACTCAGTATTTAGCAAATCTGTCTCCTCTTCCCTATCTCAGCACCTATTTTACCTCTTGCCTTGATCATAAATCCTTCTGTGATCTGGCACCTGCTTACCTCTTCAGCCTCATCTCACCGTTTTTTCCCCAAGCTTACTCCAAGTGTTAGCCCAGGGGCAGAACCAGGTTTTTCCAGCCCTTAGGCTTATGCAATCTGAAAGACTCTCTGAGGAAAATAATACGACATTGTGATTGAACATTAGTTACAGAGCTTTGGAAGGGGCCTGTGCAATCTTCATTAGCTTCACAGTGACTCTGCCTCTGTCTAGCCAAAGAGAGCAAGCTACACTTCCCTAGAACATACCAGAATCCTACACATCACTTTGCCTTTATACAGGCAGTTACTTCTGCCTGAGATGCCCCTCTCTCCATTCCCTTGTCTGTCTGGCAAAACAGTTCGTCCTTCAAGAGTCAGCTCAGGAGGCACATCCTTTGTGAAGGCTTCCCTGACCTCCCTACGTGGAATTGATGGTTCTCGCCTTTGTGTTCTCATTGTAACTTGTCCTTTATCTCTTTGTACCCTGTCCTTTACAGAACATCTTATACTCTATGGAAATTATTTGCTTAAAACCGGTTTTGCCTATGAGTCCCTCAAGGGCAGAGACTAAGCCATTCCTTTTTAGATGGTCAGAGCTCGACAGTACCTGGCGCAAGGTAGGAGCTCAATAAATGTTTGCTGCATGGAATTGAGACCTGACCCATGTATACTAGAAAGACACCCTTCTTTTGGCAAAGTGAGTGGAGTGGAACAGTTGCTGTAGACAGGGACACCAGACAGGGCCTATGCTTGGGAGGTACCTGCTGCTGCCCACACCATTCTGGGAGGACAGGCTTGGGCCCGATATCTGTGCTGTCTTCAAGATCTCTGTGGTGAGCTCCTCTCTGCGGCCCTCTACCAACCTCCCCACCCTACCCCACCCCACCGCCTTCTTTACCTGTCCTCTTTGTTGATCTGGTCCCCAAAGCCAACTGTGCTAACGATCGTGAGCTTTAGCCTCACGTTGCTCTCTTGGAGGTCATAGGTATTAGACTGGAGCTGGACACCCGGCTGTGTGTGGGTGGCTGGCTCCCCTTCGAATTTGGTGTTGAACAGGGTGTCCATGAGGGTGGACTTGCCCAAACCTGTCTCTCCTGAAAAGCAAAAGGATAAATTATGGTCTGTTCACATAGTGACTATTCAGCCCTTACACATCATGTTTCATATACACATTTGTTGACACGGGAAAATGAACATGATAAAACATAAAGCAAAAAGCAGAAGCAGATGAACTATATGATGTCAGTTAAATGAAAAAGACTGAAAGGAACTATACAGACGGATCAGTAGTAGTCATCTCAGATAGTAGAATTGAGGTAATTTTCATTTTATTCTTCCAACTTTTTTCTGTCATTTGGAAATTTTACCTTGAGTATACATTGTTTTTTTTGTTGTTGTTTGTTTGTTTGTTTGTTTTTGAGACAGAGTCTTGCTCTGTCACCCAGGTTAGAGTGCAGTGGCATGACCTCGGCTCACTGCAACCTCCATCTCCCGGGTTCAAGCGATTCTCCTACCTCAGCCTCCCGAGTAGCTGGGATTACAGGCACCCGCCACCGTGCCCAGCTAATTTTTGTATTTTTAGTAGAGATGGGGTTTCACCATCTTGGCCAGGCTGGTCTCAAACTCCTGACCTCATGATCCACCCGCCTCGGCCTCCCAAAGTGCTGGGATTATAGGCGTTAGCCACCGCACCTGGCCAAGTATACGTTGCTTTTATAGTCAGAAAAAGAAATTATGTTATAGGCAGCAATGGAGAGATATAGCTATGCCTAGAAAAAAAGACTGGGAGGAAATACAATATACTCTTACCAATGGCTATCTCTGAGTGGTGATCTTATGTGTGGTTTTCATCCCTTTCTTTATGCTTTTTTATATTTCCCAAGTTTTCTAAGTGGAATATGTATAGTTTTTGTCATAAAAATTAGAGGACTATTTTAAATTTTTTTAAAAAATGACAGCAGTGGCCAGGCGTGGTGGCTCACACCTGTAATCCTAGCACTTTGGGAGGCTGAAGCAGGCAGATCACTTGAGGTCAGGCATTCGAGACCAGCCTGGCCAACATTGTGAAACCCTGTCTCTACCAAAAAATATATATATACATACACAATTTAGCCAGGCATGGTGGCAGGCGCCTGTAATCCCAGCTACGGAAAGGCTGAGGCAGGAGAATTACTTGAACCAGGGGAGGCAGAGGTTGCAGTGAGCTGAGATCGTGCCACTGCACTCCACCCTGGGCAAGAGAGTGAGACTCCATCTCAAAAAAAAAAAAAAAAAAAAAGACAGCGGTCCCTTGTCAAACAAATATCCTTTCATCCCAGTCCCCACCTCTCCTCCCTGCCAGGCCTAAACAGCCCTCTGGGGATGCCCCAGATGTGCCTCCCCACGGTGAAAACTGTGCAGGCTCCTGGCTTATCCTCCCAGCCTGGTTGAACGGTTGAACTTTCAGTGAGACCGTTTTTAACTAAGAGGGGCGGGGTGGGGAGACCCAGCAGGCCACAAAAATTCTTCTTCTTCTTCTTCTTTTTTTTTTTTTTTTTTGATACAGCGTCTCGCTCTGTTGCCCAGGCTGGAGAGCAGTGGCGCAATCTCGGCTCACTGCAGCCTCTGCCTCCCGGGTTCAAGTGATTCTCCTGCCTCAGTCTCCCAGGTAGCTGGGATTACAGGTGCCTGCCACCATGCCCTGCTAATTTTTGTATTTTCAGTAGAGATGGGGTTTCACCATGTTGGCTAGGCTGGCCTCAAACTCCTGACCTCTGGTGATCCACCTGCCTCGGCCTCCCGAAGTACTGGGATTACAGGCATGAGCCACCGTGCCCGGCCCTTATCCTTAAATTTTAAACAAACTAGCCATTTATTTGTTTAACTACTAGGCTGCGAGATACTAATAAGTCAAACTGTTGGAATTTTAAAAGTCTTGAACTTCACACTAGGGAAACCAGTAGGGGAAAGGCTGTGGCAGACTGGTGAAGGTTTTGGAAGCTTATTCCTGGGAGATCAAGGGATACCAAGCCACTGTCAGGAGCCAACAAGACTTCAGGGAATGGGACATCACAAGAAGTCAGGAGTTGGTGACAAGGGGGCTAAACAGGAATCTGATATGAGGCCACAAACTGGGCTGGGCGCTGCTTATAATCTCTACAGATCCAGGCTGTATTTGACCCCTCAGCCCACCCCAAGTGACTCAGGAATACCAGGAATTAAAGAGTCAGTAGAGAGGGCCAGGCGCGGTGGCTCACGCCTGTAATCCCAGCACTTTGGGAGGCCGAGGTGGGTGGATCACGAGGTCAGGAGATCGAGACCATCCTGGCTAACACGGTGAAACCCCGTCTCTACTAAAAAAATACAAAAATTAGCCAGGCGTGATGGTGGGTGCCTGTAGTCCCAGCTACTTGGGAGGCTGAGGCAGGAGAATGGCGTGAACCCAGGAGGTGGAGCTTGCAGTGAGCTGAGATCGCGCCACTGCACTCCAGCCTGGGCGACAGAGTGAGACTCCATCTCAAAAAAAAAAAAAAGAGTCAGTAGAGAGGCAGGCACTTCGAAGAGAGGATATCATTAATTACTCTGGCCTGCCCTTTGAAGACAAAGACTACTCTCCCATTTATTCCGCTATCATCATCCCTGTTTTTCCCTCTCCTCTCCCCAACCCAGGGGGAATGTGAGCCTCGACTTCTCTTCACAGTCGGGACTGGGTTTGCATTGGGCAAATTGTGGCCTGCCAAACCCCGCCTTGCGACCAAAAGCACACATCTGCAGGGTGGTTCAGGGCTACGGTTAGAGCTACATGATGCAGAACTGAAAATGCTCCATCTCCCCTCCCCACTCTGGGTGTGTCTAGCCTGCTTCTTTTATCCCAAATAATGAGCTATGAATGCAGGAGGTGCCTTTTAAAATATCTGTGTATGATGAGAGTTTTCTGTGTGTGGACAGAGAGAAGGGAGAGAGAGAGAAGAGATAAGAGAGAGGAGGGAGACAGGGAGAGGGAGGGAGAACAAGGAGAACATTCAATTCAGTCTGGCTACCCGGCCCCCCAGCCCAATTTCATAGCCAGGTCTGACTAACTTGGTAAATTGCCAGAGTGTGGGGAAATGGTTCCTCACACAGATCATGTTTCAAGCCAGGGTCTGCTATATCCATTAGCAGCAAAGACTCTTGAAGAAGAGGCCCCCTTTTTCCTCCCCTAAAGGAACAGGAAGTATTTGGGTCCCAAGAAGAATTTTATGAGGTGGGGCCTTTGCCATGGGAGGTGGCAGACTTGGCCAAGCAGTGGAATGTATCACACCCCACCTCACCCAAAGTTGGGGTGCACCTTAACTGCAAACGGGGCCAGCACCTTGGAGGTGGGAACACAGTGTGGCTCCCACATCCTAACTCACCTCCCCTCTCGAGGGCACTGAGGTTTGAGCTACAGTTTAGCTCATCTTCCTATGTGCCTGATGAATTTTCCATGTACATCCTTACCCCCAACTCCCTCCCATGGAACAGAAGGGAGCACATGGAACAGAACCATCCTTACCCCCAACTCCCAAAACCCTTCTGTTGCATGAGCTCCCTGCCGAATGCCCTGTAGCTCCTAGGGAGTGGGGGTCCTGTTTCCCCAGCACCCAGAGTGGGCACCCTGGCTCCCCGATCCTAAGAATTCTCAGAGAGCAGGAGATGGGCCATCTTCCAGTACCCCCGAGAGTGCCTAACCCAAGGTTCACACAGAAGGCCTCAGGGGCAGCACCGCAGCGTTGAGGGACCCACCCTGTTTGCACAGCTGGAGGAATGGGGGCCGGGCAGGGCAGGACAGGGAGCTGGGAGGAACAGCAGGAGAAATGACCACCCAAATGCCTGCTGGCACAAAAGCGCTGTGGAAATTAGATGCCAAATAATGAACGTCTGGAAGAAAAGAACACCCGGGTGTCTAGGGAATTGAGATAAATGCAATAGTAGAGAGGGCAGAAAATCAAGCGAGCTCATCCTATGGCTATCGAGAGCTCCTGTTCCAGTTTTCCATCAGTGTAGAGCCTGGGGGTCGGGGAGGCTTTCTGTCAATGACTGGCACAGACCCAGCCTGATCCTAGGATGCTGCCCCTCCCACGGCTGCCCTGGGCCCAGTACTGAGTGTGAGTGTGTTGTGAGGGGGAGGCACACGTGACCTAACTGGGATCAGGTCAGCAGATTCCACACCCCTGCAGGAAGGTGGAGACTTGGCAATTCGATTCCAGCAGGAAACCTGAGGAGTCCCGAGGGGTCAATTTCTCACTCCTCCTCCCCCAGCCCTCCCAGGGCTCCTCCAAGTGGATAGTAAGGTTTTTAACGCATGCTCCACCAGCCAAGAGGATTTCATCTCACTTTGCTTAATGTAGATAGTATTCTGGAAACAATAGTTTTAAAAAAAATTAAAACATATATGAGTACTACGAAATATGTTTTTTTTCAAACTATGCTCTTGCGGGACGGTGGCTCAGGCCTGTAATCCCAGCACTTTGGGAGGTCGAGGCGGGTAGATCACCTGAGGTCAGGAGTTGGAGACCAGCCTGGCTAACATGGTGAAATCCCGTCTCTACTAAAAATACAAAAATTAGCCGTGCATGGTGGCAGGCTCCTGTAATCCCAGCTACTCAGGAGGCTGAGGGTGGAGAATCGTTTGAACCCGGGAGGCGGAGGTTGCAGTGAGCAGAGATCTCACCACCACACTCCAGCCTGGGCGACAGAGCGAGATCCTGTCTAAGAAAGAAAGGAAAGACAGAGAGAGAGAGAGAGAGAGACAGAGAGAGAGACAGAGAAAGAAAAAGAAAAGACTTCTAGCCAGGTTATCACTAAGTTACTTTGTGACATGAACTGAGCTCTTTCCCCTCTCTGGGTCCCAGTCTCTTTTTCTATAAAATGAGAGCGTTGGTAATAACAGCTATTGTTTACAGACACTGCTCTAAGTTTTTTACATATATTTTCTTATTTATTCCTCACAGCAAGCCCATGAGGAAGATGTTACTATTTGTCCTCAATTTATAGATGGGTTAACCAAGCCACTTACTAGCTGTGTAAATTTGCACCAGTTCCTCAGCATCTCTGCACCTTACTTTCCTCATCTATAAAATGTGGAGGGGCCGGGCGCAGTGGCTCATGCCTGTAATCCCAGCACTTTGGGAGGTTGAAGCAGGAGGATCAGTTGAGGCCAGGAATTCGAGACCAGCCTGACCAACATAGACCCTGTCTCTGTTTTATTTTTTATTTCCATAGGTTTTTGGGGACAGGTGGTATTTGGTTATATGAGTAAGTTCTTTAGTGGTGATTTGTGAGATTTTGATGCACCCATCTCCTGAGCAGTATACACTGAACCCAATTTGTAGTCTTTTATTCCTCACCCCCTTCCCGCCCTTTCCCCCTGAGTCCCCAAAGTCCATTGTGTTATTCTTATGCCTTTGCATCCTTATAGCTTGGCTCCCACTTATGAGTGAGAACATACAATGTTCGGTTTTCCATTCCTGAGTTACTTCACTTAGCATAATAGGTCTATTTTGAAAACTAGTAATAATAAAATAAAATGTGGAAGAAGTAACTAGTCCAAGGTCACAAACTAGTAAGTGGCAGAGCCAGCATTTGAATCCAGGCAGGCCGACGCTGGAGTCCATGCTTTTAACCAATGTGCTCTAGCGAGACGCATAGGCGTGATACGTTTGTTCATTCAGTCATTCAACGAGTATTTACAAAGACTCTAACAGGAGCCAGGCACAGTTATAGGAGCTGCAGATACAGCAATGAACAAGATAGCCACAATCCCTGTTCTTGTGGACCTAAAGTCTCTTCCAGTTCTGAATGTTGAACCCAGAGAAACGTCTCTGAGTTCAACAGGGAGGTGCCCAAAAGGAAACATTCCAGGAACTCCGGTTGGCTAAGGAAGCCTATGGAAAGGGACAAGGTTATGCCTGGCTCTGTGACCTTGTCCTTTCTCCTTCCTGATCTTGCAGAGGCCTGGCAGGCAGTGGTGTGCTGGAGCCGGCTCGTCCGCTTCCTGCATCTCTTCCCAAGCCCACGTGCAGTGATGTCATGTTGGTAGCTTAACAGCAGCCATGGCAGGAGTAATGACACCAACAAAATCAGCAGATGCTTCAAACCACAACAGTTTTTCTCCTGAGATGGGCTGTGACGTTGACCAGCACACCACTGCTGGCAGCCTGTTTTAGACAAATAAGCAGCTGCCTTTCCCAGATATGAAGGGATGAAACAATTGATCCTTGGCCTTGATAGAATGCTAGCTGCCCTTTCCCTCCTCCTGCAGCAAGCCTCAATCCTGCTTCTCTTGTGTGACTGTTTTTTTCCATGTTCAACAGAGCCCAATTGAGCCTGGAATCCTGAGCAGCTTCAAAGTAAATATTATCATTATGACCCTTTGTGCTCTTCACAGCCATGACTGCTACTGTAGCATTTAGATGGATGAGTCTCTTTGGGGCTTGTTCCCAGGAGTGCAAAGCAACGGGCCCCAGAATATTTGTACTGTTGGCTCTGGTGGTTCCTCTGAGGCATTCTGTACTGCATCTAGGATCAGGGGATCCTTGAAATTTCCAAAGCTAAGGGACTAGTATATGTGTTTTTATGGGGAGAAAGAGGAACCTCACCTCTTCGGTAATTATGGTCAACCCTAGAGAATATATTGGAGAGGAGTCATAATATGTTCACACTCATGTGCCTAGTCCTCTAAAAAGAATAATAGGCCAGGTGTGGTGGCTCATGCCTATAATCCCAGCATTTTGGGAGGTCCAGGTGGGCGGATCACTTGAGGTCAAGAGTTCGAGACCAGCCTGGCCAACATGGTGAGACCCTGTCTCTACTAAAAATACAAAATAAATCAGCTGGGCATGGTGGTGCGCACCTGTGATCCCAAGTACTAGGGAGGCTGAAGCATGAGAATCACTTGAACCTGGGAGATGGAGGTTGCAGTTAGCAGAGATAGTGCCACTCCACTGCAGCCTGGGTGACAGAGTGAGACTCTGTCTCAAAAAAAAAAAAAAAAAAAGAAGAAGAAGAAGAATTGCAGGTGCCGTTTATTGGTATCCTTACTATAAATTAGGTTCTGGATTATCAAAAATTCTCGGCCGGACGCAGTGGCTCACACCTACAATCCCAGCATTTTGGGAGGCCGAGGCAGGCAGATCACCTGAGGTTGGGAGTTTGAGACCAGCCTGACCAACATGGAGAAACCCCGTCTCTACTAAAAATACAAAATTAGCTGGGTGTGGTGGTGCACGCCCATAATCTCAGCTACTCAGGAGGCTGAGGCAGGAGAATTGCTTGAACCCGGGAGGTGGAGGTTTTGGTGCGCCAAGATCGTGCCATCGCACTCCAGCCTGGGTGACAAGAGCGAAACTCCATCTCAAAAAAAAAAAAAAATGCTCTCTCTTAGTTGCAACACACATATGTGCACAGATGTACACACATGCACACATGCATGTAGGATACCTTGCTGGATGTAGGCCTATGATCGGCAGCCCAGCACCAAGATAAACAATAGTGTGAAAAAATATCCTAGGTCTTTGTTAATAATTGAAGCTAGTGCTACCATAATTTTACACCAAAAATGCCCTATCAAGAAAAAGAAACGTTTGGGTATGGTGGCTCATGCCCATAATTCCAGGACTTTGGGAGGCCAAGTAGGGAGGACTGCTTGAGCCCAGGAGTTAGGGACCAGCCTGGGCAACATAGTGAGACCTCATCTCTACACAATAAGTTTTTTTTTTTTTTTGAGACGGAATCTCACTCTGTCACCCAGGCTGGAGTGCAGTGGCGTGACCTCCGCTCACTGTAAGCTCCGCCTCCCGGGTTCACGCCATTCTCCTGCCTCAGCCTCCTGAGTAGCTGGGACTACAGGCGCCCGCCACCACGCCTGGCTAACTTTTTTGTATTTTTAGTAGAGACGGGGTTTCACCGTGTTAGCCAGGATGGTCTCGATCTCCTGACCTCATGATCCGCCCACCTCGGCCTCCCAAAGTGCTGGGATTACAGGCGTGAGCCACCGCGCCTGGCCCTCTACACAATAATTTTAATTAAAAAAAAATTAGCCAGGCATGGTGGCATGTGCCTGTAGTCCCAGCTACTCAGGAGGCTGAGGTGGGAGGATTGCTTGAGCCTGGGAGGTTGAGGCTGCAGTAAGCTGTGATCACGCCACAGCACTCCAGCCTGGGCAATAGAACAAGACTGTGTCTCAAAAGAAAAGAAAAGAAAATACTTTGGGGAAATATATTCTATGCCCAAACAGCATCTTGTTATAACAGTCATTAAGGGAGTAAATGTACACAGGCAGTAGGCATGAACTATCATCACAAAAAGCTCTGCAAGATAAAAGATCACCTTCAGCAGCTAAGCTATGGACCCTTTGCGAAGTCAGTGACTGGATCCAGCCTCATGGCTGGGCTGACATTGCAGCTTCAGAGCTACTCTAAGCTACTTATGACCTTGGCCCAAATTGTGGGTTCTCTGAGCAAGGACAGGGTGGTGAGCACAGCAAGAGGGCAGGATGCGTGCATTGCAGGGTTTTTTGGAACAGGGGTGAAATTAACCCAGTCGGGGCTGGCCTATCCAATGGTTGCACCTGTGAGTCTAAGACAGGAGCTACAGAGGCAGCCATTTCCTGAAACTTGACAAGTGGGGAGCAAAAGAGAGTCTGTGACTCTTGAGGATGAGAGCATCTCCTTCCTACTCCTCCCCTCTTGGAGGGTCTGTGCTGGGTACTTGAGCAATTCCATCCCAGCAGGTGCAAGTGGAAGCATTTATAGCTGTACAATGTCTAGGTGGAAACTAGAGGATGGGGGATTACTATTTCTCCCATCCACTTTGCCTTGAGCTTGGCTGCCTCTGGGCCCTAGGGGAGCCTGTGCTCCACATATCAAATTACCCTACACTTCCACCCTCAGAGATCCATTTCAATTCACATGGCCTCCCTCCTAAAGCTTTACTAGCCCACCCAATCGCACTGGTTGAAAGGTTGCTTAAGGTGGATCTGTCATTTCTCTTCTCATCTCAACTTCAGTACAGGTCATATGGAGTTCTGGGAAGAATGCCAAGGGACTCTGATATGTTTGTGCTTAAATATTGTGGTAATCAAATATTATGTGAAATAAGTTGGCCATCAGCCAAAGATTGGAGCTCTTGTTAGTTAAACAGAGATTTGGCAGTGCTAACATTGGATGTGATAGTCTTTGCACTTGATGTCGATTACTGTGACTTCTAGTTATTTTACATTTTTCTCCAAATAGCACCTAATCATAACCATCAGTTAGACTTTCAGCATTTGAAGAATTAACAGCCTAGATCTGGACTCTAAGGCCCTCGATGTGTAATTCTGTGAAGCACATATTTTCTTTTTTTTAATGTACTGTTTTATTCACTAATGCCTCCAGGTATATTTCTCTCCCTATGAACAAGGACATGCATAGTAGAAGTCACATCTTAAAAATAAGTTTGAGTATAAATCTGTGGATTGAAACTGAAGCACATATTTTCATCTGATAGGTTCCAAAGTTGATGTGGGCCAGGCATAGTGGCTAATGCCTGTAATCTCAGCACTTTGGTAGGCTGAGGCAAGTGGATCGCTTGAGCTTAGGAGTTCAAGAACAGCCTGGGCAACACAGTGAGACCTCACCTCATCTCTACGAAAAAAATGAGCCCGGTCGCATGCCTGTAATCCCAGCTACTTTGGAGGCTGAGGTGGGAGGAATGCTTGAGCCTGGGAGGTTGAGGCTGCAGTGAGCCTCTGCACTCCAGCCTGGGTGACACAGGGACACTTTGTCTCAAACAACAACGACAACAAAACCAAAGTTGGTGTGTGGGAGTGAGCCATTTAGCTAGGGAGTGAGCCTAGCTTGTGGGAACAACTGCCCGTCATCTGTTGTTCTCTACTTGTCCTTGAATGTGTAGCAATTCTCTTACAAAAAGTGACCTGGAAAAGAATGCTGGGGATAGAGGAAAAAAAATGATAAAGAGCCCAAGAAAATGAATGACCTTAGTGAGAAAACAGAATTTCTAGGCTGGGCGCGGTGGCTCATGCCTGTAATCCCAGAAGTTTGGGAGGCCGAGGTGGGCGGATCACTTGAGGTCAGGAATTGAAACTCCGTCTCTACTAAAAATACAGAAATTAGCTGGGTGTGTGGCGTGCACCTATAGTCCCAGGTACTCAGGAGGCTGAGGCAGGAGAATCGCTTGAACCCGGAAGGTGGAGGTTGCAGTGAGCTGATATCACGCCACTGCACTCCAGTCTGGGTGACAGCACAAGACTCTGTCTCAAAAAAAAAAAAAAAAAAAAGAAAGAAAGAAAAGAAAAGAAAGAAAAAACAGAATTTCTGAATACATTAAAGTGTAAAATATCCAATTTAGTAGTAGTTCAGATCTACTACATGAACAAGTTCCCCATACGCTCTATACAAAAATAAAAGGCAATTAGCAAAAGTGTTTGAGTGTTTCAGCCAGTACAAAAACAGACTTTATTCTGGTATTTATATAATCATTAAGGTTCAGAAGGTCACTGGAAATATGCAGGTATGCTTTCCCGTGTTACAGGGTGAAAATTATATGCTATGATCATGTTTGCAAATTTGAGATATTTAAGATCTAAGAAGATTCTTTTTTTTTTTTTGAGACAGAGTCTTACTCTGTCGTCCAGGCTGGAGTGCAGTGGCGCGATCTGAGCTCACTGGAAGCTCTGCCTCCCAGGTTCACGCCATTCTCCTGCCTCAGCCTCCCAAGTAGCTGGGACTACAGGCGCCCGCCACCGTGCCCGGCTAATTTTGTTTTTGTATTTTTAGTAGAGACGGGGTTTCACCGTGTTAGCCAGGATGGTCTCGATCTTCTGACCTCGTGATCCACCGGCCTCGGCCTCCCAAAGTGCTGGGATTACAGGCGTGAGCCACCGTGCCCGGCCGAAGATATTCTTGAAGAAGGAACCGTTATCCCTCATATTTGTTTGATTGGTGCTCAGTGGTTTCCAAAGTGCTTTCATGTGCTCAAGAGATATTGCTGGCAGCAGTTAGAGAAGCAGGGGGAGGAACAAGGGGTCAACCAGGCCTGAGTCCTCATTATGGTGCCACTTCTTCTGTGTTGCCTCAGGTAAGTCCCTTATCCTCCCCAAGACTCTGTGTCTCCACCTGTTTCATGAGGATACAAATGCTACTTGCTCTGCTCACTTCGCAGAGTCCTGGTAATGTCCAAAAGAGCTAATGTGAGAAAGTGAAAAGTATAATGAATGGTTCCTGTGGCATTCACCCATTCATTCATTTCACAGATATTACCGCACTCTACTTGTGCTGTGATTAGCAAATAGAGGGGGCTAAGATGCAGCTCCCACTGTTGAGATTAAATGTCTAGGTAGAGGCCGGGCACAGTGGCTCACACCTGTAATCCTAGCACTTTGGGAGGCCAAGATGGGTGGATTGCTTGAGCTCAGGAGTTCAAGACCAGCCTGGGCAACATAGTGAGACCCCCATCTCAAAAAAAAAAAAGTCTAGGCAGAGAGATAGGTAAAGGGAATAAAAGAATGTTGCATACAGCTGTGTGGTGCCTGCACCCGAGCTCAAACTAAACCAAGCACAGCAAAACTACAGAGGAAACAGACCCAACCCACTGCCCACAGCTGGTGGGCAGGCGTTTTTTGTCAGCTATCCCCTCCCTCCCAATTCTGCCCTGGATCCTGTCTTCTGTAGTCAAAATGAACTCTACAGCCATACTGAGCCAGCCAGCTCCCTTACAGAATTTCCACTGGGTCTCACATAGCTCAGTTTCCCCCCAAGATATGGCCCTATACTCTGATCTGGCCAGGGGAAAAAAGTAATTACAGCCAGCTGTTTACAAAAAACAGGCAGAGAGATAAAAGAAGAGGGGAGAGACACTCTCGCAACTAAATCAGAATGACACACTATTTAACCTAATTACCTGCAAAGCCGTATCCAGCCATTAAGGATCCATATTCTGTAATAGAATTTCCTGCTATGGAAATACTCACCCACGCACAGGATGTTGAAGCAGAAGCCCTGGCTGACGGACTTATTCACCAGCTGGTCAGGCAAGCTGTCAAACCCCACATGTCCAGCCAGGGGGACAGTTCGGCAACCTTCACCCTAATTTGGAAGGAGTGAGGGAGAAAATGAAAATGTGCTTAAAAGCAGTCTGGGTCTCGCTTCTCCATCCAAATGTTCGCTGTGCAAGGAAGTCACACCCGCCCAGGCCCAGTGTGTCATCTCTTCCCTCAGCTACTCCCTGCTCCAAAGCAAAATGGCCCGTCAGCTTGGAAATCACAGATTCTTGGGGACAGGCATCCTCTAGGCTCAATAGTGAATGTCGCCACAGCTCCAGAGAAAATTACAGAGGAGCTTATTAGGGGCAGGAGAGTGGAGTCAGGGGAGGAGAATGCTGGCACCGAGATTCACAGACTCAGGTTAAATCTCCACTCAGTCATTTACAAGCTGAGTAACTTGCTGAGACTGTTTCCTTCCACATCTGCCATCTGAGATAATATGGCATATCTTAGAGGTGACTGGGAGCCTCAGAAACGCTAATACATGTAACGAGCTTAGTATATGCAGAAGTATTCAGTAAGTATTACGAAAAGGGTTTAAAAAGCAATTATTGGGCCGGGTTCAGTGGCTCACACCTGTAATCCCAGCACTTTGGGAGGCCAAGGCGGGGGGGATCACTTGAGGTCAGGAGTTCAACACCAGCCTGGCCAACGTGGCGAAACCCTGTCTCTACCAAAAAAAACAAAAATTAGCCAGGCATGGTGGTGGGTGCCTATAATCCCAGCTACTTGGGAGACTGAGGCAGGAGAATTGCTTGAACCCGGGAGGTGTAGGCTGCAGTGAGCCGAGATCACGCCACTGCACTACAGCCTGGGCAATAAGAGCGAAACTCTGTCTCAAAAAAAAAAAAAAATCAATTATTGGCTGGCGAAATGTCTCACACCTGTAATCCCAACACTTTGGGAGGCCAAGGTGGGTGGATCACTTGAGGCCAAGAGTTTGAGACCAGCCTGGGCAACACAGTGAGACAACATCTCTACAAAAAATCAAAAATTAGCTGGGCATGGTGGCATGTGCCTGTGTAGTCCCAGCTACTTGGGAGGCTGAGGCGGGAGGATTGCTTGTGTCCAGGAGGTAGAGGCTGCAGTGCGCTATGATGGCACCACTGCACTCCCGCCCAGGTGAGAGAGCAAGATCCTGTCTTAAAAAAAAAGCAATTGTTCCTCTCTCTCTAGAGCATTTTGAGGACCTACAAAGGCAGTGTAGTGTAGAGGTTAAGAGTAGAGGCTTTGAAATCTGGCAGGTGTTAGTTACAGCCCCATCTCCACCATCTCCTGGCTGTGTCACCCTCAGACAAGTTACATAAACTTCTTAAGTTTTCCCCATCCATAAAATCGGAAACTATTGAGTAGGAGTGTGAGGATTATACAGGATCATGCTCCTCAAGCCCTTAGCGTAGTGCCTAGCATGTGGTGAGCATTCAATCAGCAGTAGCTGCTGTTGTTATTCACTGTGGGGTTATCCTTACACCCCCAGCCTGAAGGGTACTGCATGGAACACTGTGGCTCCCTATGGCTACAAGAAGCTGCCTCCGTGCTTCCTCTGGGTCCCTTGACTCCCTAAGGGTCAGCCAAGCCACTCCCAGCCCTGGAAAGCAGAGGGCCTTTGCTTCGCCTGCAAGGCCCAAAGCTGCTTATAGTTAATGATTTTACAAAACAGGAGGAGACTCAAACTGGAACAGGATTCCAAGGAGCCAGGGGGAAGCATAAAAGGGGCCTGCGTGGAGCGTGGACTCAAGAAATGTGCCAAATACCAACCAACGGCCACAGGGGAGGGGAGGGGACAGGGGAGAAGGGAGCTTGAGACAGCTGAGCTAGACAAGAAGGGAGTACTATGTAAGGAGTCAGTTTCTGTTGGGTGGGGCTGCACCAAGCTTTCCATAACTAGAAAGATGCCAAGAGCAGTCCAAGAAGGGCACGGTTAGTGCCAGGAGGCCCAGCCCAGCATCACAGGCTGCACTAAGCAGGCAGCTCTTCTGTTGGGCTGGACCACCTTTTAGACTAGGTCCATAATAAGGGCACATTTTCACACTGAAAGGGGTGGGGTGTGAGGGTGGTGGAGCCTCTCAGCAGCCAACTTTGTCAGAACCGGCTCCCAGATAGCCCCTTCACACAGCTTTAGATCTCACTCCCATCGGTGTCACTAGATCCTGTGAGGGCAAGCGACAGGGCTAGTGCCGGTGAATGCCATGTGGCAAGTTCATTACCCTCACACATCTCACCCCACACCCTCCCAGTGGAGAACTCTTAACAGACAACCATATGCCATCATTCAGTGAGAGTTGGTGTATTCTCTGCCCCAGGGGGTCCCCTGAAGACACCTGAGGCTGGGTGCAGTGGCTCGCACCTGCAATCGCAGCACTTGGGGAGGCCGAAGTGGGCGGATCTCTTGAGCCCAGGAGTTTGAGACCAGACTGAGCAACAATGGCAAAACCCCATCTCAACAACAAGAAAAATACAAAAATGAGCCGGGCATGGTGTCGTGAGCCTGTGGTCTCAGCTACTCAGCAGGCTGAGGTGGGAGGATCACCTGAGCCCAGGAGGTCGAGGCTGCAGTGAGCCATGATCTCGCCATTGCACTCCAGCCTGGGTAACAGAGCAAGACACTGTCTCGGCCGGGCGCGGTGGCTCATGCCTGTAATCTCAGCACTTTGGGAGGCCGAGGTGGGCGGATCACGAGGTCAGGAGATGGAGACCATCCTGGCTAACACGGTGAAACCCCGTCTCTACTAAAAATACAAAAAATTAGCCGGGCGTGGTGGCGGGCGCCTGTAGTCCCAGCTACTCAGGAGGCTGAGGCAGGAGAATGGCGTGAACCTGGGAGGCTGAGCTTGCAGTGAGCCGAGATCGCGCCACTGCACCCAGCCTGGGCGACAGAGCGAGACTCCGTCTCAAAAAAAAAAAAATAAATAAAGACAGCTGAGCCTCATGAGTGGTTCACATCACTCAAGGCTTTGTTCTACGTTCACCCCTTTCTGCTTCTCCTTCTCATTTCCCCTTCTCTTTATTAAAGCAAACAAAGTAAGATGCAAGATTCCCACTGCTAGTTCTTGGTCCGCAACGCTGCAGGGGAGTCAGGGACATGAGAACTGATATGCTTTCTTTACGGAGCCTCCGATGTAGCAGGCATCGGAAATTGAGGTGGACTCAGAGTTGAGGTTTCCTGAGCCATTTGTTATCACCCCTGGCTGCCTCTTCCG
This sequence comes from Homo sapiens, assembly GCF_000001405.40. Classification (NCBI taxonomy): domain Eukaryota; kingdom Metazoa; phylum Chordata; class Mammalia; order Primates; family Hominidae; genus Homo; species Homo sapiens. Next base: position 129,828 of record NW_025791817.1, read on the forward strand.
GCCTCCAACAAATTCAGCACCATGAAGCTTCAAGTGCTCCAAAGTCAAAAGGAGAGGAAATGAATTTTCAAACTGAAGACAGTGCTGTAAAGAGCCCTAAACGGCAGAAGAAAAAATTTTCTTTTCTTTCCTTTTTTTTTGATAAGGAGTCTCTCCCTGTCTCCCAGGCTAGAGTGCAGTGGCGCGATCTCAGCTCACTGCAACTTCCGCCTCCCAGGTTCAAGCGATTCTCCTGCCTCAGCCTCCCGAGTAGCTGGGTGCCCACCACCGCACCCGGCTAATTTTTTGTATATTTTAGTAGAGATGGGGTTTTGCCATGTTGGCCAGGCTGGTCTTGAACTACTGACCTCAGGTGATCCACCCACCTTGGCCTCCCAAAGTGCTGGGATTACAGGCATGAGCCACCATGCCTGGCCCAAAAGAAATAATTTTTTAAGCCCTAAGAAGCAGAAGTATGGACTTCATTTCCTAAGCAATGGGATTTGGGGGATTTTGAGTGATTTGAGCAGGGAGGGCCATGATACAGGGAGTGTTTTTAAAAGATCACTCCAGCTGCAGGGTGTTTGCTTGATTGGATGGACAGAGAGACTAGGAGCAGGAAGACATAGGAGGAGATGACTCCAATAATGTTGAGCCAGCAGAGTGACATCCAGGCACTGTGACAATAAATGCTGGTTGGTGTGAACTGACCTGACTTGGGACTCAAAGAGAAGGAACAAATTTGAGAGATGTCTTAAGAAGGGATGAGCCTCTGCCGGGAGCAGTGGCTCACGCCTGTAATCCCAGCACTTTGGGAGGCTGAGGCAGGCGGATCACGAGGTCAGGAGTTCAAAACCAGCCTGGCCAACATGGTGAAACCCCATCTCTACTAAAAATACAAAAATTAGCCGGGCGTGGTGGCGGGAGCCTGTAATCCCAGCCACTCAGGAGGCTGAGAGGCAGGAGAATCACTTGAACCCAGGAGGCGGAGTTTGCAGTGAGCCGAGATTGCGCCACTGCACTCCAGCCAGCCTGGGGGACAGAGAGAGACTCCGTCTCAAAAATAAATACATTAATTAATTAAAAAAGAAGGGATGAGCCTCAAGGAGTGATTGGGCAGAGAGAACAATCGCAAGGGTCTAAGCCCGGGAGCTTGGATTGACAGCACCATGGAGACACATAGGAAAGCCAGGAAAAGATGCCTGTTTAATGGGGACGATGAGGAGACTGATTTTAAATTAGCTGTTACTAAAAAAATTACATTTATCAGATTTTTTATTTTGTGGAAGTAATCAATGTTCACTGTAGAAATTTTAGAACATACAGATAATAATAAAGAAGAAAATCAAAATCAACCATAATATCACTCTCCAGAGATAAACACTCTTAATTTTATTTATTTATTTATTTATTTATTTATTTATTTATTTATTTATTAGAGATGGAGTTTCTCTCTTGTTGTCCAGGCTGGAGTGCAGTGGCACAATCTCGGCCCATGGGTTCAAGCGATTCTCCTGCCTCAGCCTCCGGAGTAGCTGGGACTACAGGTGTGCACCACCACGCCCAGGTAATTTTTGTATTTTTAGTAGAGACGGGGTTTCACCTTGTTGGCCAGGCTGGTCTTGAACTCCTGACCTCAAATGATCCGGCCACCTCGGCCTCCCAAAGTGCTGGGATTACAGGAGTGAGCCACCATGCCCAGCCACTGGTGACTTTTAGAATCCTTATTTCTTTTGTATCTGTTACCCAGTGTCCAATACACCTAAATTAACTGAGGAGTTTGGGAAAGAAGGGACATAGAACCTGGTCAATGTGTTTTTCTTGCTAACTGGGATTTAAGCAGCAAACTTTTTGTCTCAATCCCTGTAGCTAAGAAAGCTTCAAAAATGTATTTGTGGCCAGGCACGATGGCTCACGCCTGTAATCCCAGCACTTTGGGAGGCCGAGGCGGGTGGATCATGAGGTCAGGAGTTTAAGACCAGCCTTGCCAACATGGTGAAACCCCGTCTCTACTAAAAATACAAAAATTGGCTGGGCGCGGTGGCAGATGCCTGTAGTCCCAGCCACTCGGGAGGCTGAGTTAGGAGAATCACCTGAACCCGGGAGGCAGAGGTTGCATTGAGCCGAGATCACGCCACTGCACTCCAGGCTGGGCGACAGAGTAAGACTCTGTCTCAAAAAAAAAAAAAAAATGTATTTGTATAGTTCCTACTTTAGGAAATCCTGTCTGGCAAACACTATGCACCCTTGCTTTGATGAATCTTATAAGATGTCAAGGTCATCATTATGAGTATCAGTCCGCATTGTTCAGAGTTAAATACGCAAAGGTAGGAAGGACAGAAGGACACAACATTGAACTGAATGTACACTGACCCCAGCACAGCCCCTGGAAGTTTCTCCCCTCCTCTCTCACTAAATCTCTGATATCTTATCTCTTTCCTCTTTCTCCTTAAGGTGGCCTGATTAATTGAGGGCCTGATTACTTTGATTGCAGTTAATTGAATGTTCCTTGACTACAATGTGCACGAGAGGAGATGGAACCGGCAACTTGGCCCAGCATGTCTGACAGTAAATCTCAAGTTTTCATCTTTAGTAGCAGGTGGTGCCATATTACCATACTGAAGGCCTGAACTGAGATGCTGGAATGGCCAAAGTCACCATTTTAAATTGCACTTCTCTCATAACCCTGCAACCTCCTCTCAGAATCTGTACAAAGATCTATTACAAGGAAATTTATTACAGCACAGTTTATAATGCTGAAAAAAAAAACCCAACCTAAATGTCCAACAATAGGAAAATATTTAACCAAATTATGGTACACGCATATTCTGGAATATTCTACATCCATTAAGAAGCATGTGGGTAGTTCTGTATGTACTGATGTGAGTATCTCCAAGACATATTATAAAACAGAAAACAGAAGTTATAGGGCGACTGTAATAAAATAGAAGAAAATGGAAGTTATTACATGACTGTAATCCCAGCATTTTGGGAGGTCGAGGCAGGTGGCTCGCTTGAGCCCAGGAGTTTGAGACCAACCTGGGCAACACAGCAGAATCCCGTCTCTACAAAAAATACAAAAATTAGCCAAGTGTGTTAGCACACACCTGTAGTCCCAGCTACCCAGGAGGCTGATGTGGGAGGATTGCTTGAGCCCGGTAGGTCGAGGATGTAGTGGGCCAAGATTGTGCCACTGCACTCCAGCCTGGGCAACAGTGAGACCCTGTCTCAAAAAAAAGAAAGAAAAAAAAAAGAAAATAGAAGTTGTAAACTATAAGCACAATATGAGCCCATATATGCCCCAGAAGCCCTGTAGATGTGTATTTGCACGTAAATGTATGTGGATGCATAGAAAGAAGACTGAAAATACAGCCACCAAACCCACAATCGTAGCTACCTCAGGGGAGGGGGATGGAAATAGGGGCTCAGTCAAGGGAGTAGTCGGTATGCTTCCCTATTGTTTGACTCTTTTATAGCACGAATGTATTCGCATGTTACCCATGTAATTTTAAAACATTTTTAATATAAGAAAGAAGAGTTCTCACTCAGCTTTGCAGCAGGGGTAATTAGGATGCAGAGAGTCTGAGAGGAGCTAAAAGGAAGGCAAAATGAAAGAGTGCTCCTGAGAACTGGGAGAGCGCCCCACTCCCCTCCCCAATTACATTTCCTGTTTTCTCCTCATCTGCAGTCACCTGTGGTTTTTAAATACGTTATACCACATTTCATATCACAGGCAGAAACACTGCTCTCTTTCTCTTCTGCCTCCTCTCCTGAGGACACACCAATTTCGTTTTTTAATTGAATATTCGTAAGGTTCATATTATCAAGAACAAGTTATGGTGGTTCCAGCTGCGCATCTTTCTCTCATTGCTGTTACTGAAAATAAAGAGTCCCTTAAGCACCCGAGTAGGCCACCTCTGTCCCCCACTCCCCTTGGCCCCTCTTCCAACCTCTGTGATAGTAAGCAAGCCGTATTTGAGGCCTCTGGGAACTGAGGGTGCATCTGTGTCAATGGAGAATTTCCCGCCTCTGTTTCAAACCAGGGTGGCTAAATTAGTAGCTGTCATTCTAAAGAATAAAAGCAAAAAGTTTGAAACTCATTGCTGATGACTAGGCTGTCCCTAAACTTTCTCCTCTGGCCATTCCCATCCAAATACTAGGAAAGCGGCCAGGTACGGTGGCTCATGCCTGTAATCCCAGCACTTTGGGAGGCCAAGGCGGGCAGATTACTTGGGGCCAGGAATTCGAAACCAGCCTGGCCAACACTGGGAAAACCCGTCTCTACTGAAAATACAAAAATTAGCCAGGCTTGGTGGCTCATGCCTGTAGTCCCAGCCAGTTGGGAGGCTGAGGCAGGAGAATCGCTTGAACGCAGGAGGCGGAGGTTGCAATGAGCTGAGATCGCACAACTGCACTCCAGTCTGGGCAACAGAGGGAGACTCTGTCTCAAAACAAACAAACAAACAACAACAACAAAAATGCTAGGAAAGAAAAGAAACACTGAAACCGGACTCTCTTCAGTCACCTACTGGTGGGCCCAAGCTCTCACACCTCCCTTTTCTCCATTTCCACTCTCAGCCCTGAACACTGATGTCTGAAAGACCGTGCAAATCTCCAAGACTATGAATCATCGGTTCAGTGATACATGATGGAATATTAAGCAGCTGAGAAAAATGTTTTCTAAGAATATTTAATGACAAAAGGAAATGCTCACCAAAGGCAAACAACAACAGGAAAACCAACCTGTATACACAGGGTCATCCCAATGATGGGGGAAAATACACATTTTTTAAAAGATTAGAAGAACACATGCCAAAATAATGTCAGTGATTTCTTTTGGGTAGAGAGGTTGTAGGTGATGTTGCTTTTCTGGGTTTTCCAAATGTTCTACAATAGGCATATTTTACTTTTATAAACAGGGAAAATGTTACTTTTTTAAAAAAGATTCTATGATGATACTTTCCTGGGTAGGAAAGTGGCCTCAGGTATTTTAGAAAAATATTGAACTACAACCAAAAAGGTGCCTGACAATTTGGGTCATCAGAGCATTTAGCTTTCAGGCAGTTTTATTGTATATAAAACATTTATTTTACCAGAAATACAATAAAACCCTATTAGTCTCCTTATTATAACTTCTTTTTTTTTTTTTTTTTGAGACAGTGTCTCACTCTGTCAACCAGGCTGGAGTGCAGTGGCGCGATCTCAGCTCACTGCAACCTCTCCCTCCTGGTTTCAAGCGATTCTCCTGCCTCAGCTTCCTGAGTAGCTGGGATTACAGGTGTGTACCACCACACCCAGCTAATTTTTGTATTTTTAGTTTAGTAGAGATGGGGTTTCACCATGTTGGCCAGGCTGGTCTAGAACTCCTGACTTCAGGTGATCCACTCGCCTCGGCCTCCCAAAGTTCTGGGAATATAGGCGTGAGCCACTGTGCCCAGCCCCCTTATTATAACTTATTATTACATATTATATATATAACTTATTGTCATACAGTATAATTTCTTATTATAATGATTCATGTGAACCAGAAGTCAAATCATATATCCTGAAACATGTAGCAAAAAGTCTTGATGAAACAATCAGGTAGCTGATAGCTTCCTCTGCTGCCTCCAATGCTGCCAAGGATGCCGCTGTATTATGTCATAAGAACCACAAAAGCACTGATAAGTTCCCAGAGGTTTTTTTTTTTTTTTTTTTTTTCTGAGATGGAGTCTCACTCTGTCTCTCTCAGGCTGGAGTGCGGTGGCACGATCTCAGCTCATTGCAACCTCCGTCTCCAGGGTTCAAGTGATTCTCCTACCTCAGCCTCCCGAGTAGCTGGGATTACAGGCGCCCACCACCACATCCAGCTAATGTTTGTATTTTTAGAAGAGACGGGGTTTTGCCATATTGGCCAGGCTGGTCTCGAACTCCTAACCTCAGGTGATCCGCCCGCCTCAGTCTCCTAAAGTGCTGGGATTACAGGTGTGAGCCCCCGCACACAGCCAAGTTCCCACAGGTTTTAAAAACAATTCTCAAATGCATCCAACACATCAAATATCAGAATGTCCCTCATGCTAATTAAGCCAGGCTAAGAGGAAACTGAGTAGTAGCAATGCCCTATCCTGGGAAAGAGAAATGTGGGGGCTGTTCTAAGGAGAAATAAGGCCTGCAAAAGCTGGCAGCACCCCCAAGGGGCCTCAGAAATGCCCTTCAGTTGGGGAGCAGTTGTGCTGAAGAAGCACAAGACAGACTATCCTTACCAGACAGAGGAGGAGGCCCATTTTTGGCAAATCCAATAGATGAAACTGATTTTAATACACAAGATAAATTCCAGAGTGGCTTTTCATTCTATAAAAGGATTCACAGCAGGATTCCATTAAGTAGCCGGCTCTTCTACTGCATTGAAAGCAGGATTCAATAGACAAACATTCAGCTGTCATGTACCTTTATAGGAAGACAATAGCTATCTACACCTACATGGACAGGCAATATCTGAAGGGTTGTTTCTGTTCCACTTACCGAGAGCCTGCTGAGCTAAAAGCATAGATCGACCTTCCCTACGACTCTCTCCCCACCCAGCTCAAGGGGTCAAAGCAGGGAAGGGGTGGGGTTCAATTCTGCCACCTCATTCGGAAGCAGACGCAGGCAAGGACCTAAAAGAAATGAGGCTGGAGAAAAAGGAAACATAAGCACCATACAATGTTAGAGCTGGAAACGCCCTTAAAGATCACCTAATCCAGCCCTTTCGTTTCACAAAAGGGGAAACAGAGACTCACAGAGAGGAAGTGACTTGGCTCACGTCACAGACTGATTTAGTGACAGAGAATAGTGCTAGGATCCAGGCCCCTGTCGAGCCAACGGCCACTCTCAAATGGAAAAGCTGACTCAAGTGGCACATGTGTTTCTTTAGACTGGTAAAATTCCGGGACATTGAGCTTCTGGCTTGATGCTGGTCAGGGGCAGAAGGGTCAAGGAACCGAATCTGGAAACCCGTGAGCTCCCCAAGGTGGTTCTGGCCCACAGAAGGCAACTGAAGCAGTCAATGCGGTGGAAGGCACTCATTGTGTGTTCCTGCTCTCTACTCACTTCCCCACTTTTTCCTCCTGTTTCCCTCTCTTTTGACTGCGGCCTAAGTCTCAGCCTGGCCAGCTGCCCAGTTCTGCTGAAGAACCCCAAGACTAACACAAGCCTAAGTCTAGGTCAAATATCCCCACCTCAGGCCAGGGGTGACCCTTGCTCAGGGTGAGTGAAACTTTCCCACAAAAGCCAGCCAGATTCCCTGGAAGCCAGACAATTGAAAGAGAGTTTTCTAGGTGTTCTGGCTATTGTTACCTCCAATCTGCTAAAAAAGAAAAGGTTTACCCACAGGCCTCTGGGTGAATGCCCAACTGCCCTCTGGGGAGCCTGAATTTGCCTCTGCCTCCATCTGGTCTTGTTTAATGGGGATCTGAAAAAAACCCAGTTCCTGCCTCAGCGCCAGTGTTCAGAGCTGGGGGCCTCCAATGTGAAAGGAAACCGAACACGACCTCACACCTCATCAGGGCCAGGAAAACAGAGTTCTGCCCCGTTACCCCAGGGCCTTCATTCCGGGTCAGAGAGGGCCATGGCAGGGGAAACCTGAGCCCTGAGGCCTCTCGCTGAGAAGGCCTGCAGATCTTTTCCCTGGTCACCTTTAAGTGAGTGGAAGGGCCGGCTGAGAGCGCGCTGCATAATTCAGCAGATGGCTGCCTCTAATGAGAAGACACTGAAGAAGAGGATAACATTATTTCTCACCCTCCTGAGCATGTGGCCTCCTTCCTCTGTGCAGGCGGCAGAGAAACCCACGGTTTCAAATCCCAGCAGCAGAAGCCTCCTCCTGCCAAACTGAGGAGGAAGGGTCTGTGTTTCTAATTTATTCTGCGCCCCCCACTCCAGTTGTTACTTAAAATAATCCATCATTACATGGCTGGTGGCTCCAAGATTTTTATTTAAAGCAATATGGAGAAGAAAAAATAAAAAAGAAAACCCACACAACCCGTGACTGTGCTATATTGGATTTAAGCTGAGAATCTTTTTAATATCAGAGAGTCTCCGAATCACCCTAGTATACTCTTCCCTGGGCCCTATGGGAGTGCTGAGGGAGTGTAGTGAAAAGAGGGGGAAGAGAGGTCATGGCAGGATTTTGATGTCTTAGAAACATCATGAAAAGACAAGTGTTTTTAAACAAGGAATCTGTGTCATCTGGTGGGTGTTTAATCGTATCACCCACTGACCAGCAATAGCACTTCGGACTAAGTAACTTGGTCTCCCTACACCCATTAAATAAAGGGAACAGTAATACTTGTCCAGGAAGCCATTGGGGAAAATGAAATCATACAGATGGAAGCATTTCGAGATCGTTGAAAGAAACATGTTATATATATCCATGGCTTTCCTTCTTTCCTTCTTTTTCCTTCTTTCCTTCTTTCTTTCTTTCATCTGTCTTTTTTTTTTTTTCTTTTTTGAGACGGAGTCTCACTCTGTCGCCCAGGATGGAGTGCAGTGGCACAATCTCGGCTCACTGCAAGCTCCGCCTCCCGGGTTCACGCCATTCTCCTGTTTCAGCCTCCAGAGTAGCTGGGACTACAGGCACCCGCCACCACGCCCGGCTAATTTTTTAATTTTTAGTAGAGATGGGGTTTCACCGTGTTAGCCAGAATGGTCTGGATCTCCTAACCTCATGATCTGCCCGCCTCGGCCTCCCAAAGTGCTGGGATTACAGACGTGAGCCACCGCACCTGGCCTCATCTGTCTTGAATGTAGTTTTAATGTACATGCAACTAAAAGCCCTTCTCAATTGTTCATGCTAATATTAAACCATGGCTCTGATCATCCAAAAACCCAGGCAAGTCCAGAAATCAGCCCTACTTAGTTTGGGAATACCTTTTTCCAGAGGACTTATCTTCCTAATTGGCTTTGCTCAGGCTAATGCAATAGGTTTGCTCCCTTATAGCACACAAAGGCAGTGGCCATGCTTGGTAACAAAGCCAGCAATTAATAGAAAATTTACAGCAGAGACTCCACAAAGTAAATGCTATGCACATGACTGCAGATCAAAATCTCATTAGATGATACAGACAAATCACTCTGCTATAATGTAGTTTTGTATTAAGAACACCGCTAACACTCACATTTCCAGGATTTAGGATGTAAAAAGGAAACAGGGCTTATTCCTGCCTTTCATCTGGAAGCTGTGAGAGGGCAGAGTTCCTGCGTGCCTTGGCCACCACTATATCCTCAGCACCTGGCACGGGGCCTGGCCGATCAGTGCCCAGTGAATATGTGCTGAAGGAATGAATGAAAATAAAAGTGGGTGAATTGGCAAATGAAATGTTCCCAACCCAGTAGCAGATGTGAGATCTCACCCACCTTCACACCTACCCATTTCCTATTTGAAGCCCTCAGGAAGCCCTTCCTGTCACCCTCTGCCTCCATTCATTGCTGAGTTAGGTTCCCTTAGTAATGAAATCTCATGGCAGGCAGTCACTCTCCTGTGTAGCACTTATCACAAAGATAATTAGATAGTGATTTGTGTCTGCCTCCACCAGTTCCTTGAAAGAAGGGACCATGTGCATTTGGGGGACATTGTCATTCTGCCCGCTTTTTATTTTGAAAAATCCCAGGCCGGGCGCTGTGGCTCACACCTGTAATCCCAGGACTTTGAGAGGCCAAGGTGGGCAGATCACGAGGTCAGGAGTTCGAGACCAGCCTGGCCAACATGGTGAAACCCTGTTTCTACTAAAAATACAAAAATTAGCTGGGCACGGTGGTGCACACCTGTAATCCCAGCTACTCGGGAGGCTGAGGCAGGATAATTTCTTGAACCCAGGAGGCGGAGGTTGCAGTGAGCTGAGATCGCGCCACTGCATTCCAGCCTGGGCGACAGAACAAGACTCCATCTCGGGGAAAAAAAAAAAAAAAAGGAAAAGAAGAAAAGAAACATCCCAAACACACAGAGAAGTTAGAAAATAATGTAATGACTGTCCAAAAACCCCTCAAATTTAGAATCAACATTTTTAAATATTTAGGGCCATGTAAACTTTCTTCCGTGTTGTATCACCAATAGAGCTAGGTAATAGGGTTTTGTTTTCTATGTTTGAGGTACGATACTACCTTTAGTGGGTGGTGGTAGGAACGCCTGAAGCAGAGACCTCAAAGGGAATCAAAGGGTAACTGCCACGTGATGATAGCAAAACCAGAGTGCAGCAGCAATCTTTTCCCCACCTGAAGACAGTTGCTCTGAGACAGTTGACCCAGACCAACCCCAGCTAACTTTGTAGGGCAAAGTTAGCCCCTGAAAGTTCACTTGGGAGAATGACCACTACCTAGATTGCCACTAGAGAAAGCTTCATTGTTCACATTGTGGGACTAGTTCAAGCCAGAATCATCCAGATGCTCTTGGTATGGGCCGGCATTTACGGTCTGGATCCCAGAATGCAACATTGAAAGGAACAGCTCATTAAAAGAGCCAGCACATGCAGCTTTTGGGGCTTGCCCTGTGCCTTGGTTACCTTGGACAAGTCATGGAACCTCTCGAAATATATATTAATAGCAGCCCAAGCCACCTCATAGTCAGGGGGTGAGGTGGGGCATCACAAGGATCTTCTATAGTTCTTTAATTATTTCACAGTGTCCACAATTTGTCATTCCAACTAGACTATAAGCTTAAAAGCCACGAACTTTTTTTTGTTTTGTTTTTTGAGACGGATTCCCACTCTGTCGCCCAGGCTGGAGTGTAGTGGCACGATCTCGGCTCACTGC